>NC_000018.10:50026576-50327243 GCF_000001405.40 Homo sapiens
GTTCACTTGGCCCTGAAAGTAAAATCTGTTCTGAGGACAACCTATAAATGGAATCTTACTCAACTATGAATTCTTCCATCGTTTCCTTCTTTTGGATACTGTGACATGATGAGGGATACGACACCTATGATGTGCCATCAGTACTATCACCACCACTGTGCCTGACATTCAGCAAACCCTCACTCTGTGCCAGAAATCATACTAAGCATTTTCATTTATCAACTGATTTAATTCTAACAATTTAGTGAGTTAGACATGACATGTATGCCTATCTTAGAGACACAAACCCTGGTGCAAATTGAGGTGAACTTGAGAAACTTGCTCAGGGCCACACAGCTACTGTGTTTTAAGAACTTAAGCCAGTCTCGTTACTGTCCCTGGACACTCAACTCTTAGCCGCCTTGCTTCCCAGCATGTTCCTTTGCTGCAAAACTCAGGCCCATTGTCAGACTAGGTTTTCAGCTGCTCTGTCTTCTGGGATATAAATGTGAAAATACACAGTAGAAAAAGAAAGAGTGGTTAACACAGCATGAACGGCATTACTACGAGGTAAATAGCAATGCCATTTCATCCTGCTAGGCTTCACATTCTATTAGCTTTTTTTAAATGAAAATTATTTTGGACACACCTTGAAAAACTAAATCCTACTCACATGTCAGCACCATTATTAATTCCAAAAGAAATCCATGTAGGGTGACAAGTTTGACTTTGACATCAGGAAAATGCTGTGTAACTAGAACGGCGTGTAGGAGCCACAGAAGCCCACACCCAGGAGGGTTCTGCCTGCACAGGGCTCCATGTTCAGTGCTCCAATACTTGAGCCCATTTATGCCTTACAGTGACCTGAGGAAACAAGTGCACACACACATGCCCTTGCTCCAATAAAGAAATGGCACACCTTAAGTGAAGGAGCTTGACCCGGGTGAAGCTAGGACGCTAACTGGGGTCTGTGCTAGTCCACCTCACACACAACCAAGAGTGCTCCAAGAACAAGTCATGATTGACTAACCCAGTGTGTGCAGGTTTTAGCAAGACTTAGTACACATGAACACTTGACTCAATGTTTAGTTCTACCAGATTAAGTGACTAGTACCTGGAGAAAAAACTGCTCCATGCACATTACAGGAATCTATGCACATTACAGGAATCTATCCAGATTACCACTTCTAGATAAGAACGACACAACAGACTCGTTACATCTGCAGTGCATCAAGCTAGGGAGACCTGATCTATTAGATGCAAAACTCAGAATTCAAAAAGATAACATTCACAAAATAGCAGAACACAAGTACAAGGGTGAAATTTAATATGGATAGAATCCTGCTCAGCATACCAAAGGGAAAAAACAATCAATTGAGCAAGTGCAGGATGAAGGCAACATACCTTAAGAGCAGTCTGAATTTACACTGACAGAAAGCAAATTAGAGGTTACCTGGGGATGGAGGGAGACTTTGAAAAAAGAAAAAACACAAGAAAACTTTCAGGATTAAGGAAATGTTTGCTATCTTGATTGTGGTGATGGTTTCAGGGATGTATACTATACAATGTCTAATTGTATGTGCAATTTAATGTGTGTGACTTCACTTTAAATATGTGTAGTTTATTGCTAGTTATTTACATCCCATTAAAGCTGTGATTAAAAACAGTTCTTGAGTGTGCATGTGGGTGGGGCAGGGAAAGGATGGAAATTTAGTGGCTTGTAAACTTATAATAAGTAAACAACATGAAACACCTGCCAAAAATAAATGCATTTTCAGGCTCCATTAGAAATTCTGCATGAGTACCTCATCACGTCACATTCTGCAGACCACATCCAGCGACCATCAACATCAGACAGAAAGACCAGATGACATCTCAGGGTGGCCAGATAGGAGAGTGTCTGAAAAGCCATGCTCATAAGGAATGGCAGTGGGGGGAGCCAGGAGGCTTGGGCCAGAGTGGGGGGCAAGGACAGAAGGGGCTGCCATATAAGAAAATGATCATTATCCTGGACAGCTGCACAGGAAGAGCTCAGATCCATGCCTGAAGGCAAATAGAGACTCAGTAAACTGCTGTGTGATACAGAAACTCCTGACAATGAAAGCTGTTAAAATGTAACTCATTTGAGAAAGCATCCTATACTGGGAATGGTAGGGCAGCATCCAAAAGACCACTTGCCAGAACACAGTATCCTGCACAACTAATTTCCACCGGGTGACGCAGGCTCTCTCCTTTCTAACATGCTGTGCTTCTCCAAGTAAAATAGTGAATATTAAGAAACTAAAATATCTCTTAGCTTTGTGATTTCAAGTTGAGATTTAACCTCACAAATCATGTTGGGTACACTGCAGATATGCAACTGTTAATAATATTTATGACCTCTGCAGGGTCATAGAAGGCAGGCAAAGGAAACTGCCTCTCCTATTCTTTCCTAAATGCATAATTTTAAAAGGAGATGGCAATATCCATTTACTATCAGTTTCTTTTAAAATAGGAATGTCATCATTAGCCATATTCACTGCACACTTAAATAACTTTCCCCTACTCAGAAATTTTAACAATAAAACTAGCAATTTGAATATGATAGGTAGACACAAACAATAATACCATCTAAGGATCAAAAACAATTTCACAAAACCTTAGTGCTGTATCATCCCTAGGGGAGGGAGATAGGTGTGCACTGGCATGGCTGTGCAGGAGGTCACAGAACGAGAGACCCAGGTGAGCAGGGAAGAACAGGGACAAGTGAACAGCCCGGAGCATCCCAGGAAGGAATCTGAATGTGGAATGCTCAGGGCATGTTCAAGAAATAAGAGACAGGGCCGGAGAAGAGATTAAAAACCATTCCTGTGTTCAGACATTTTAAGCATCTCTTATACCTTGTCCTAAAGCAATTCTGACTAACCCTGACTTGAAATTATATTGAAAGGAAAGAAAAGTTCACCCAAAATTCAGGGCTGACTGAAGTCCTGGTTTCAGACTTTACTATAAAATTCACCCAGTCATTGCTCCCTACTCACTGACCTCCCCAAGGATTCCACCATTCACTGTACTCAACCATAGCCCATGAATCTGTCAGCTGTAACAACTGTGCCCAAAGTCTTACGGCACTCAAGAGCTTTCAAAGGTTCCTCATGACTTCTCACTGGATCCAAGTTCCTCTCAGAAGCAAGGCCAATGTTCCCCTCAAAGTGTGAAGATGCTGAGAACCACAGAGGTCAGAGAGTCTACCCCTGGACACATGGCAGGTTGGGAGAGAAGAGGTTACTGGGGGCAGACCCTTGCATACTCCTGCATAGCATACCACTTACAGGAAAAACCTGGCTCCACACTCAGATCAGCATGACCACATTCTCTCACTGAAAACCTGAGGCTCAATTAGGAAGCACTCCACATCCCCAACCTCCCCAAACAATGTAACAGCCCAGAATAACAAACCACCTTATGCCAAAACTGAAGGAAGAAACCAACATTATTTTATTTAAAACTTGATCTCAAAGCAACATGAAGATTTAGGTCACCTCTGTATAATTCTTTTATGAAAGATGTATTTCCGAAGATCCAAGTTCAACAGAATCTGCAGCCTGGAGTTGATTGCAAAAGTCCTGAGTCCATTCTCATGCATCCCAGAGCATTCCATCCCCATCATTAGGAAGATAAAGTTGTCAATTCTATTTTTAATTGTCGTTTTGACCTCCAAAAATGGAAAATGCATAGCTTCCTCGCTCCCTTTCCCTTCTGCAATTTATTTCCACAATCAGGAATTTCTCTCATTGCCCTGAGGAGTCAATGTGCTCACTAAGGGTTGTCCCGGCAACAGAGGACAGCCTGTCACTTCCACTCATACTATCAGCCTTGCAACCTCTTCCCTCCTGTTTACCAAGAGGGACACTTTTGGCTTTTTCACGATGGACACTCATTTCCATACTGCTTCCCTGGAAGATCATCAAATTCTCTACATGCTCTTCACACTTATGGGGATCCAAATCAAGCAAGAGACCCTCCTCCAAGAGCCCAACCAGGACCACTAACTAGAATCCCTATCCTTGCCGAGCACAGGCTCTCACCCTCATGGGCTCCAGATCCCATCTCCAGGCTGGCTCCCACTCTAGCAAGGGTGCATTTCATTCCTCACCAGCTCCACCCTCCACAGGCCTCCAAGCTGCACACCCCTCCCCAGGACCCCAGGCAACAGCAATCTCATCTTTCATTATTAGTCACAGCTGGCAACACAGCAGAGACAGATGGGAATGTGGGTGCTGTATTACCTTGGTTACCTGAGCAAATAAATTTGCTCTGCAGCATCCCCACTCCCTTTCAGAAAAAAAAAAAAAAAAAAAAAAAAAAAAAAAAAAAAAAAAGCACAAATAAAACACATGGCTCAAAAAAGCAATCAGACACCGCCAGCCAAATAAGATGGCACACTCCCACCAACAAGGCTGGAAAACACACCAAAACTGTAAGGACAAAGATCTATCCCTTTTGCCCCTTAGTGCTACTTGGGGGACCAGAATCTGCTCTGTTCTGACAAGACTGGGGCTGAGCAGACAAAATTTAGAGAGGCGGTAGGGCTTCTTTGCTAATGCAGGAAGCTCTGGGGCAAACAGATTGGGTCTAAATTCCATTGCTACCCATTAAGGGAGGTAGAACAGCTTCTTGGCTAATGCAGGAAGCATTGGGCAATCAGATTGGGTCTGGGTTCCATCTCTGCCCATCTAGGGAGGTAGTATCATTTTTCTCAGGTAATGGAGGAAGCTGTGCAGCAAAGAGGCTTGGGTCTGAACTCCATCTGTACCCAGTTACTGTCTTCATGACCTTGGAGAACTATACAGCATCCGAAAGTCTCTATCCTCATCTGTATTGTGGGGATAACTAATCTCAGACAGCAACTCTGAGAATTAGATGCATTAATGAGAATAATTCCTATTCTTTCTTGAGCACCAATCATATGCACTGGGGTAAAGCATGGAAGACAAAAGAAATAGAACATAACACTGTGCCACAAAGTCTCACACTTTATAATTCCCTGCCTTTCATCCATACTATACACAGATAAGTTCTTTCCACAACAAGCTAAGTTTCTGATGAGAAGGTATTCTTATCCTTGGAAATGTACAGGAATATGGAGAAGAAAATATCATTAAGAAACAGGACCCAACAGAGAAAAATTTTTCTTTGAACATCTCTTGTATCATATTATTTCCTTATCCAAGACACTAAAATTTCTCCATTGCCCTATGCATTTCTCAAACAGTGTTGCACAGAACATTAGTCCCTCGAAATAATCTTTGAAAACAGTTTTGTGTCTAAATATGATTTGCAAACCCAGCATAATGGATCCCTATCTTGGAAACTCAGAAGGCGTGTCAACATAAGGGCTCTGGGAAGCTCTGCCTTAAAGGAAGACGTTTAACTTGGTTAACCCACGGTTTCCCAAACTCGTTTGGCCAACTTTGTACTGTGTTAATAGAATACATTTCTTCCCCAAAGTTCACCCCAGCCTGCAAAGGCCTCCACAGTCTTGCTTCACCTTGTTTCTAACTTTACAGCCCAGAACACCCCTGCAGATCCATTCACCATGTAAGTTAAACTTGCCTAGGTACAGTCTCCTGGCCATGTCTTTTTGTTTATAATAGCTTTATTAAGATATCATTCACAGAACACACAATTCACTCATTTACTGTGTATAATTCTATGATTTTTAGTACATTTGCCAAATTGTGCATCCAGCAGCACAACCAATTTTTAGAACACTTCATCACCCGCCACAACCACCCCCCAAAAAAACATAACTCTCAGAAATCATGCTTCATTTTGCCTCAACCTCCAGCCCTAGGCAGCTGTAAATCTACTTTCTGTCTCTATAGATTTGCCTATTCTGGACATTTTATAGAAATGGAATTAGACAACACGTGGTCTTTTTTATCTGGCTTCTTTGATTTAGCATATTTTCAAGGTTTATCAATGTGGTAGCATGTATCAGTTCTCTGTTCCCTTTTATGGCCAATAATATTCCATTGCATGGATATTCCTCATTTGATTTATCCATTCATCAGGTGATGAACATATAAGTTGTTTTCACCTTTTGGCTATTGTGAATAACACTGCTAAAAACATGTGTAAGCTTTTGTGTAAATATGTGTTCTCAGGCCGGGCATGGAGGCTCATGCCTATAACCCCAGCACTTTGGGAGGCCAAGGCGGGTGGATCACCTGAGGTCAGGAGTTCGAGACCAGCCTGGTCAACAAGGCAAAACCCTGTCTCTACTAAAAATACAAAAATTTAGCTGGGTGTGGTGGCAGGTACCTTTAATCCTAGTTACTCGGGAGGCTGAGGCAGGAGAACTGTTTGAACGTGGGAGGTGGAGGTTGCAGTGAGCCAAGATTGCACCATTGCACTCCAGCCTGGGCAACAAGAGTGAAACTCATCTCAAAAAAAAAAAATGTGTTTTCATTTCTCTTGGGTGCATACCTAAGAATGGAATTGCTGGGTCATAGGGGGATTTTTGTTTTACTTTTCAAAAAAACCATCAGACTATTTGCCACAGCAGTTGCACCAATTGACATTCCCACTAGCAGGGTGTAAGAATTCGAATTTCTCCACATCCTTGCCAACACTCATTATCATATCTTTGATTGTAGACATCCTAGTGAGTGCAAGGCAGTATCTTGTGGTTTCATGATGCCTTTTGACGCCCCACTTCTGAGGTCATGGTCCACTACTCCACCCACCTAGAGGCCCTCTTCTTACTCTGTGCATCCTACCAATTCATCAAGACCCAGCTAAAATCCTAGTTTTCTCGGACGATCTGTGACATTAGGTCTCCAAGCGCAATTTAAATGACACCGTGGCACAGTTTCTATTTATACTTCCTGCAATTATAGGCTTCTTGGCCTACGTACGTCTTTTCTCTCCCACCAGACAGTGAGCCCCTTAAGAAGCAGGGTGAGGTCTTACATTTCCTAGTGGCCAGTATTGAGCCTATCAAATAACTGATACTTTATAAACATCTGCTGATAATGATTTGATGGAGGACCTGAGGTTGGAGCTGAGGAAGGTAAAAATGAGTGAGTGGGCCTTCTGGGTCTCAGACAGGGAAGGAGGAGTAGAAAGCACACAGCTAAGAAGTGGAGGTAAGCCCCTTCCTCACAGGATTCTCATGCAGTGGACAGAATTCATTAAAATGACGTTTCATAGGATTTTAACACCCCCTTTTTCTTCACTGTGAATCTGCATTCACCCTCAAGCCCAGACTTGGTGAATATGACAGAGATAGGCACAGTGAACAAATCCTCTTCTCTTACGGCTATCTCCTCTAACTTTCCTCCAGCACTAGCAGTTCTCTCCTGGAACTCTTGGGGGGTGGGTATGGGGGGGAATAAAGATCTATACTTAGTCCCTCATGCTCTCACAGAGTCTCCACACCTACTCAAAGCATCAAGAGTTCCTGTGTGAGCCACATCAAGAAAGAAAATCCAGTCCCCAGTGAATCAAGAGAATCACTGAGTCCAAGGCCACCTGAGTTGTAGTCTCCAAAGACTGAAAACTATTAATGTTAGTTTCTTACACCTTTCATTTCACCCAGCTGTTAGGCAGGTTCAAATTCAAAGTACACTGTGCTAGCCTATGGCTACTTGAACCACATAATTATTTCAATGACTACTGATGAGTCAGAAAAAGCACAACAGACAGTTGACAAGTACTGTTGAATGAATGTGTTCTAGTGTCTAAAACTGATAGAGAAGACCCATACAGGAAATACAGCAAAAACTTGTCCTGCATCTAACCAATGGGTCACCCTTCTTTCTTGGCTCAACAGATTCTGCTGAGGCTTCCAATGTACATCTCAGATCAGTAACAGAAACCCTGAGCTGCTGACAACAGAAGTAATTCAAAATTAGCTCTCAGTCGTGCGTGGTGGCTCACGCCTGTAATCCTAACATTTTGAGAGGCAGAGGCGGGTGGATTACCTGAGGTCAGAAGTTCGAGGCCAGCCTGGCCAACATGGTGAAACCCCGTCCCTACTAAAAATACAAATATTAGCCAGGTGTGGTGGCAGGCACCTATAATCCCAGTTACTCAGGAGGCTGAGGCAGGAGAATCACTTGAACCTGGGGGGCGGAGGTTGCAGTGAGCTGATATCGCAGCACTTCACTCCAGCCTGAGCGAAAGAGCGAAACTCCATCTCAAAAACAAAACAAAACAAAACAAAAAAACCAAAAAAACAAAAAAGCTCTCCCCTGTGGCCACATGTGCTGGTCTTCCTACTTCTAATGCATGTTCATAAGCAAAAATTGCAGAAGAACTTCAGCAAAATTAGGGACCCAGTGGTAAAACAAGTATAAACCTTAAAACCTTAAAGAAAATCCTTAAGGAAGCAATCCCAGTTCAGCTTTAACATCCAAACTCTCTACTGACAAATTCATTACCCTAGGGCAAGACAGTATCACACCCATCACCCCAGACTCCCACACGTCCTCTTCCCCATAATGGGTGCAAAGGTCTCAAGCAAGTGAAATAACCCAATTGTAGGATAACCATGGACTCAGCTTCAGGCACGGCAGAGAAGAACAGAGGAATCTTGTCAAGAGGGTCTACAGGGTGGATAAAGCTAGAAGACTCCACAGGGTGGAAAGCTAGAAGACTCTCAAGCCTACAGGAGTCCACAAGCAGCTTTGATGAAGAATGGAAACTTCTGACACACCTAAGTGCAATGGCCAAGAGAATGGGATGAAAGCATCCAGCCATGACAGGACAAGTCTTAGAGCGCTGTCAGAGCTGTTGGCATGGTATAACATGGTAAGAACCAAGCCACATCTACCTTCTCTTTCAGAACCATAAAGAAACCATCTTCTAAAGGAGGAAAGAGTGTCGCTGTTCTCACATGAAGTGCATGTAGACTCAGGTGAATTGATTCTTCCAAAGCACAGAATCCGTTCAGTCCCAAGGCCTCCCTCCTCTGTGCCATACCCGCGGCCTCCAACAGAAACTCATGCGCAGGCTGCATACTGTGCAACATGCTAATGCTCATTCTTCTCTCCACACAATCTTCTGAACCACACACCATTGGGTAAGAGGTACACATCAATGAGTTGCCAAGCTAAGGGACTCCTAGTTGAGCCCTGATAGCAGGTTAATATAGTGTATGGTCTTTCTTTTGGCATTAGAGAAAAGTGAAAGATTGCAATAATTTTAGCTCCACTCTTTGGAGAAATAAAATAGTTACAGATCATTCTGTTTATTAGATTTTTCAGCTCTCCAATCAGTGCTTATTTTGAATATATCACTGAGTATCTATAATGAAGCAGACCTTTTATATACTGATCTCTACAGCCAGCAATAAAGCACTATAAATCTGCAAGGATGCCCATAAAACAGTCTTCCCTCATGGAAATTTTCACTGGGATGAAAATGATACCCTGAAATCCACTGAAGCACAGACCACCTAGAATGGGATTCTCCCCCTACAAAAATCACTAACTCCTTTTACTAAATTAATCTAAATAGCTTTCCTTCTCCAAAAAGACTTTGCTATATGTTGCCAGCTCCAAAAAGTGTTCTCTAGAGGTGACAAGAAAAACTTGGCTGAAAGAATCTAGCATTTTAGCATTAACTGAGACCTGCATTTCCCCCAAAACATTGATAAAGCTATCTTTCCCTACTTTATGCTGAAGTTACAGCCCATCACCCAACCCATTTTCTGAAGAAACAGATGTGCTATTTTTCAGAGTGAAAAGAATAACAGCAATAAGGAGGAGATCTACTTAAATGCCTAAACAGAGCTCCACTTCCAGGCTAAAAACCCCAAACCACTATGCACAGCTGCCAGTTTGAAACTTCAATTTCTGCCCTTACGTGCTTGGCATCCCAAGAAGTTGTCAAAGAGTCCTGGTTTCTTCAAAAGGGAGTCTTCAGTGAGACTATCTGTAGATCAGGCTGGGGTAAATGAATGGAGATGCTAGCAAATGAATTATATTATACCATAAAGGGAGGAAAAGGGGCCAAAAGGAAGTCAAAGAGAGATGAAATGCAAGGAATTTATTCCATTGCTCAAAAAAATGAAATAAGTCTAAAGAGCCACTGCTCTCCAAGTCTAGGTTCAAGTTCACAAGAATAAGATAAAGGCATGAAGAAATGAGGTAGGCAGTAGAACTTGGGCTGCTTTGTTTCCAAGATGTTTCCTCAGTCCCAATCTCACCACCTCACTGTGAGCATCAGTTGCAGAGGAAGGTAAAAACTCCCCTTCCTGCCCACTGACTACTCAGGAGGACTTCTGGGCTGAGGACATTCTCACCTGGCCATCTGCTTGTAGGCTTCTTCTGCCACAGCAAAGATGTGGGGGTCCATGTCTCCCATGTTTTGGCCACTGTAGGTATAGATGACATCTTGTCCATAGATTGGCAACTGTTCATAAGGATTAATGGCAACAAGTACGATACCTGCAAACAGACAAGGTGGTCAGATTCCGACAGCACAGAAGACACCTGGCATTATTAGCTCAAGGCACCCATCCATTCATACACATGCCAAAAACCAAAGAATGAGAGGGCAGCAGAACCAGTCTTAACCAATCAATCAGCTCAATCAAGGCTCATCTGTGTGCTTCAGATCTCCAAATACCCTACAGCCTGGAATAAGCATACACACATACACACACACAAACACACACACACACACACACTCACTCACAAATGCTAAAAAAAAAAAATTGAGTTAATAAAATAGACATGTGCAAGGTGTTCCAGGATCAGAGAGAAGAGGATATTAAATTCTACCAGTATATATTAGAGAGACTTAAAAATCCATCTCAGAACTAAAATCTGGGAAAGGATTATACATTTTCTCATTTGTATATTGGTTATCTTAACTAAAATACAAATAACATGCGGACAGAGAATACAATTTACATATCTTGAGATCTAATCTTGGCTCAGCCAACTATGTCATTTTTGGCAATTACTTCTCAGTACTTCAGTTTCCTCAACTGTTACATAAAATGGAGATAACAACTGCATTTATCTGGGACATCCTAAGGAAAAATGATGAATTGTGCGAGGGAAAATGCCAGGCACGGTGGCTCATGCCTGTAATCCCAGCACTTTGGGATGCTGAGGCAGGAGAATCGCTTAAGGCCAGGAGTTTGAGACCAGCCTGGTTAACACAGTGAGACCTCTTCTCTACAAAAAAAGTATTAGCTGGGCATGGTGGCATGGACCTGTAGTCCCAGCTGCTCGAGGAGTCTGAGAGGAATGCTTGAGCCCAAGAGTTCAAGGCTGCAGTGAGCTATGATGGCACCACTGTACTCCAGCCTGGGCGACAGAGTGAGGCCCTGTCTTAAAAAAAAAAGAGAACACTTAAGACCAGTGCCTTGTATAGTAAGCACTGCATGTTTGCTATTTTTTATTACACCACATCTCAACTTTTTTCCCTTACACCTTGTGTCCCCTAAAGAATGGATTGCAGTGATGGACTCAGTAAATACATGTTGATTGAGCAACCAGGAAATGCTATAAAGTTCAGATAATCTTTTATGGATGATGTGAGGCAGGTTGATATTTGAGCCTGTAGAAGGAAAAAATTGTGAATTTGATCTTTCAGACAAACAGAGATATGCCTTTTTCTTTCCCATAAGGTCACATTCTGGATGTCAGAAGACCCACTGACTGAGGTACAAAAACCAGAAGCCTTTCCAGTCACTTGGGAAGGAGAAGGCAATGAAAGGGCGACTGCTAAGATGGGAAGTCTCCGACATTGTGTTCCCTTCTGGTGTCTGAAAAGAGACACTGGGAACGCGAAGTGTAATAAACCAGATTATTCCACATAAAGGGGAAAGGGCCAGGGGGTAAAAAAGACACTCAAGTCCTCTTGAAAGAAGTTTGCCTGAAAAGACCAAAATATAAGGCCCAGAACCCTAACAAATTCCACTAATGCAGCTAATCACTTGGAGAATCCTCTTAGGAACAGCCTCACATGTTCTGCTTGTTATTAGAGTTCTATAAGATTCTAATTCACGTAGCACGCAATTCACATTTCCGTATCATACTCCGAGGTCACGTGTTTTCCTTAAACATCCTGGCCCCTCCAGAGCAGCATCTAGTGCTTCCTGGATGACTCAGACTTCTGTGCCATTCAGTCACTCTGAACAGCTTGAACTGGAGGAGTCAAGATGCATTTGGATAAATATGTACAGACACTGGGACATCTTAGAGGGTATTCCTTTAAAAACAGAACCTGATGGTCACTTATCTTTTTCTCCTAAAATAGGAGTCAAATTTTAAAAGTCTCCTTTTTGAAGTAAATATCTTATTAAAGGCTCTGATAATTGACAGTTTGTTTCAAATAAAACTCCCACCAGCAGTTGGAGTGAAGGAGCTTTTGGGAAATCACAGCTCTCAAGCACTGGAATCAACTTGCTATCGACAGCTCCTGAAATCTGGAAGAAAAACTCACCCTAACTTAGCAGCTAAAACTATCAATTCCAAACCAAAGTGGAATATAAAAGTGAAAAACCCCTGAGTGCCTGAGGTGTCACTTATGACAATGAGCAAGACCACAGGGCACATGCGAGGCGTTCCCTCCCGGGACAAGACCACAAAGGAGCGACTCCCACAAAGGAGCCCAGCAGCCGGAATCCCCAACCAGATCCTCAATTTGCCTCTCAAACAACGGTTTATAGGGTTCTATTTTTGCTTTGCCACTTAGCAATACTCTTTAAAAAGAGAGAGAGAGATCAGAATTTGTGATATAGGAAAGGAGAAGTTTATTTCGTTGTTTTGTTTTGTTTTGTTTTTTTTGAGACATAGTCTCACTTTGTCACCCAGGCTGGAGTGCAGTGGCGCGATCTCGGCTCACTGCAAGCTCCGACTCCCCGGTTCAAGCGATTCTCCTGCCTCAGCCTCCCGAGTAGCTGGGACTACAGGCGCCCGCCACCACACCCGGCTAATTTTTTGTACTTTTAGTAGAGATGGGGTTTCACCATGTTAGTGAGGATGGTCTCAATCTCCTGACCTCGTGATCCGCCCGCCTCGGCCTCCCAAAGTGCTGGGATTACAGGCGTGAGCCACTGCGCCCGGCGGAAAGGAAAAGTTTTAAGAAAATCAAATATAATTTCATGACTTTTAAAATATGTTATGAATTTTGCTCACTATTTTGACAAATACTCATTGGGTATTATGTCAGTACAAACAGAGGCAAGTGAGAAGATCACAGAAAAGCAGGCTTTTCAAGTAGAAAATAAAACAAGGCAAAACAAAACAAGGGTTCGGTGCTGAGAGCAGGCGCCCAGCTCAGACACGATGCTGTACTTACTCCTCTCCCAGGACTCCAAGGACTGAGCTAAGCCAGTCGCACCACATGGTGTGACCCATTTCTTCCCTGGTTGATCCATGATTAACACCAATCATCCCACAGAGACTGGGGCAGCCTAATTAAGCCACATTCACTGATTGCAAACCTTTCAAGGGTCTCAGTGGAGAGATACTTACAAATGAGAGAGTGAAATGAGGACTCCTAAGCATTTGAGTTGAGCAAGTCTAAAGCTGGTAAGCACTTTCCAACGCATGCAGCCAACAGATGCCCCCCACTTACCACAGTAAGTGTAGATATGGTTGGACTCCAGGAAACGGACCTTCAAATTATGCAAAACTGCAGGCTCATGAAGATAGCTAAGGGCAGTCAGGTCATTTTCTCCCACCAAGATATCTGGATTCCGTAAGAAGGGCAGCTGGTTGCGTTGTACATCAATTGGGTATTCCAGAATCTAAAGACATGCAAGTAGCAGACACAAAAAGGTGGTTATGAAGCGTTAAGTCTGTATTCAATGTCCTGTCTTCTTAGCTGGAATCACCATCTTAACATGATAGTAAGTAATGAAGATAATGTTTTAAAGAAAGACAAGCTGAACAAAATACCTGTGTTGCCATGAGAGACCAGTCCAGATGGAAAATTTGCTGATAACATAACCCACAGAGCTCAGGAAACATAACCAGGTCTAAGAGAGTGTTCTATTGCTTCTTAAGGGAAAAATACTGAGTCTTTAATTTCAGTTGCAATTGGAATGCTGTTCTTTCTTCCATCTAGAAAAACTTCCTTGATTGGCCCCATTTATTGCTGGTACTTCATACACTCTCCCCCATTAACCAACACACTCCATTTTTATCTGGATCATCTTGTATCTGATGAACTGCCCTCTATAAGCGGCCTCAAGTTGAACCATTTGTGCATATATTTCTCCCCAACTAACTGCACGTTCTTCTAGGGCAGTAATTTTGCTTTCACCTAAAATATATTAGGAGTTTGAGACATATGTGCATAACCAGGGAGTAGGATTACACATTTTAAGGTCAAATCTCAGATGCGAGGTGTTATCCTTGTATTCTTAGCACTTGGACAACATTAAGCACCCAAAAATGTTCATTGACAGGATACATTTATAACCCTCGGTACATGTATGCACACATGTACATCTAACACAGGTAGTTTATAAGAAGGTAGTGGGGATGTTTTTAAACATTTAAACAGGAGGAACTTGGCTGCTGCTCACCATGTATTATCTGAGTGCTAAGATTCTTATGGTGTTCTTAAAAATCTTCTGAGACGCTTATAAAGTTTCCTGAGCCCAACCTACTTATCAGGAATTCTGAGGCAGGATTCAGGCAACTGAAATTTAAAATACATTCCCAAGTAATTCTGATACAGGTGGCTTTTAGATCATATTTTAAGAATTTCTGTTTTACATAAAACTTTTAGGAAATTCTATGGACACAGACTCAATTTACTGGGGTAATAGTCAATTTTCAAGATAATATAAATATCAATGTTCCTCTCACCCCATCTTTAGAGGGACTCGGTTATCAAATGTTAAGGTATATTAACAAACCCAGCAATGAAAGGGCTAAGATAGGCAGATAAATCAAGTGTAGTAGATACAGAAAGAAACACTAGCACATACAGAAAAATTGTATGTTATAATGTTAAATTGCAAATAAAAGGTTAAAAGGATCTTTTCAAGTAGTATTGGTAAGTAAATTAGCTAGCCATTTAGGGAAAAAAAAATTAGACCAGTATTCTTATTCTTATTCTCTCTTACCAAAATAAGTTTAGATAGAACAAACATTAAAAAAAAATTTTTTTAACTGGGCAAGTATTTGTGTAAGTTTTGGAAGTAAGAACTTTTGAAGAATTATGCAAAAGCCAAAACCATGTAGGAAAATATTTATAAATTTGACTATAATTTAAAACTTTAAACCTATCATAAAACCTACCATTTGCAAAGTCAAATGGGAAAAGGGAAAAGGAGACAGCGATTCTTCATCATACAATGGAATTCCTAATCTTAATATACAAAGAGTTATAAGAAATTAAAAAGAAAACCAACACCCCAACAGAAAATCATACCTAGAATACAAATCACAAAATAGCACATGAACAGATGAAAAACTATTCAACTTCATCAGTAACCAAAGAGATTCAAGTAAAAGATTATCAGCACTATTATCAGACTGACAAGACCCTAACAAGGAAGAGGGCAGACAAACAGTTACACCACTTGTGGGGACAGATTGGTTTATCTCTGGAGGGCAGCAGGCAATACCTAAATCAGAATTTTTCATTGATGAACTCTTCCTTCCTTGATCTCATGAAATAATTTCACAAATGAGCCAAGATATGGACTCACTGAAGCTATAGATAGTGAAAGAAAAACTACAGGGACAGTCAGGCAGCTACCTACAGCATTCTTCTGAATTAAAAAAAAAAGTATCCTATAGGAATAAAGTTTGTAAGAGAATTCCCTTTATTTAAAACTGTTTTAAAGGCTAGATGGATGACCGTGCAAAATATCATTGGTTATCTTTGTTAGTGGGATTTCCTTTAGACAGTTTCCTGTTTTTTTCTTTATATTAATGAAGCCTCTTTTTTTGTGAAAAGCTTTTTTATTTATATTAAACTTTGTCTATACAGGAAACCAGTGAACAATTAACTATCATGTAGACGATGCAGAAAAATTTCCAAAAGGTGGGAACAGGGGGAAATGGCGAATGTCCGAGGGCTGATTTTTATTTCATTCAATTCCAGAGTTGCAGGCTTCTTCATCCACTGTTCCTGGTATTAGCAGGATTCTTAGCAGGATTCTAATCAGACCTCCCTCCCCACAAAGCATCCCAACCACACCTCGGTGGAGATGTCCCCGGACCTGAGAGAGCACAGCTGCCCTCCTCTCCCGGGCTCTGCACCCAGCTCAGAAGGCAGCACAGGGACCGCCAGGTGCAGAGCCACAGAGCTCATGTCTTTCAGATTAGAAAGCCAGGACCTGAGTACTCCTCTTTCAGATTAGAAAGCCAGGACCTGAGCCCAACGGCTTCAACTCCTGAGGCAGAAATGCTGGCCTCCTCTAGATTCTCAGATGAATCTCTTCAACTCTTCCCCCCAAGGATGTAAACTAATACAACCACTATGGAAAATAGTGTGTAGATTCCTTAAAGAACTAAAAGTAGAACTACCATTTGATCTAGCAAACCCACTATTGTGTATCTACCCAGAGGAAAAGAAGTCATTACATGAAAAAGATACTTGCTCATGCACGTTTATAGCAGCACAATTCACAATTCCAAAATTTGGAACCAACCCAAATGCCCATCAATGAGTGGATAAAGAAATTGTGGTGTGTGTGTATATATACACAAATATATATATACATAAATATTCATATATTTATAAATATATTTATATTTATATATTATATATAATATATAATATAAATATATAAAATATATATTTTATATATTTATATTATATATAATATAAATATATTATATAATATATAATATATTAAATATATTTAAATATATTAAATATTAAATATTTAAATATATTTAAATATATTAAATATTAAATATTTAAATATATTTGTATATATTTACATATATAAATATATTTTTATATATAAATATAAATATATTTATAAGTATATAAATATATTTTATATATAAATATAAATGTATTTATAAGTATATATATTTTTATATAAAAATATATTTATAAGTATATAAATATATAAATATATATAAATATATAAATATATTAAATATATTTATAAATATGTAAATATATAAAATATATTTATAAATATATATAAATATATATTTATATATAAAGTGGAATTATTACTCAGCCATAAAAAGGAATGAATGGCATTAGCAGCAATCTGGATGGGACTGGAGATTCTAAGTAACTCAGGAATAGAAAACCAAACATTGTATGTTCTCACTCATAAGCAGGAGCTAAGCTATGAGGATGCAAAGGCATAAAAATGATACAATGGACTTTGGGGACTTAGGGGAAAAGGAGTGAGGGATAAAAGACTACAAATTGGGTTCAGTGTACACTGCTTGGGAGATGGGTGCACCAAAATCTCAGAAATCAGCACTAAAGAACTTACTCATCTAACCAAATACCACCTATTCCCCAAAAACCTATGGCAATAAAAAATTTTTTTAAAAAAAGCACGTGGAGGCAAACACACATGCAGTTTTGTGAAAACTGCAGCTGCAAATAAACAAGTGGTATTGGTTTCAGTAAAACTGATAAGGAGTAAAAATGCCCAGAGCAGCAGAAAAGAGGTGGGGGCTGCAAGCTCAGCAGCCAAAGGTGCAGATTCTTGGATGTGTGGACGTCCAGAGGGAAGGCAGGAGTGAGAGACTTGAGAGCAGATTTTTTTTCTGTAACAGGAATTTGATTCTAATATTGCTGCTAGTGTCTGGCATTTACAGCTAATATGGTTTTATTTGACATCTAAGTGTTTATGACTTAGTGATCGCAGCCATGAACTTTCTGGCACAAAAGATTCCATCCACTCCATAATAACTGGGCCTTTAGAGGTGAAAAGGAGGCTAAATGTTAACAATTCTCACAAAATTAATACTTAGTCACCACTCAGAGTGGACCTTGCCTCCTTTCTGCAACTAGGAGCTGGGAATCAGGAACAGATGGAGGTCCCCAGTTGGTCCCTGCCTGACAAGCAGGACTAGATGAGTGAGAGTGGCAGGAGGCCTAGAGTAGGAACTGGTCTATACCTGAGCTCTCCAGCAGGGTAGCCCCGAGCCCCATGTGGCTATTTCAGTGAAATTAATAAAATTAAATTCAACTGAAACCTCAGTTTCTCAGTCACACTAGCCACTGTTAATACAAAGTGACTGAGGTAGGTCTCGATTAACAGAGGTTTGTCTACACAAGGCTGAGGATGCCGGCAGGGAAAAATATAAGATGCAGGAGATCTGCAGCCTATGCTTTGTCCAGGGGGGTTTGGGAGCTTCAGTATTTAAAGGGGAAAGAGCAAGTAGGAGGGGGGAAAAAGGAGGGAGAGGGAGGGTAGGCAGTGAGACACATGGTTACATTCTTGTGAGGCTCTGATTAGCCTCAGTAAATCCATATTTTACATGTGAAAAGAGGGAGAAAATGAAAAAGTCCATTGTGCATTTGTCTCAGAGTAGGCAGAGGGATGATTTCTGTTCTTGTCCTTGTGCTGTACCTGTGAAGATAGGCTGGTAATTGACATTGTCACGGTTAAGAGTCAACAGAACTCAGTTTTGTATGCCTAGTTTATAGGAGTGACATGTACCCTGGAATATTTAGGGACTCAAGAAATTTCGTTGTAAGCAATTTGTGAGGAAAGCCACCTGGGGAGATAATGTGGTTTTCTATCACTGTGGGAACATGGCTTACAGATGAGGCTATGACACAGGGCTGCAAAATTACAGCTGTTTGCAAACAGAAGGAAAGTAGTATTGCGTGACTCAGTTCCCAAGCTTAAATTTCCCTTTGGCACAGTGAGTTTGGAGTCCTGAGAGTTTTTCTTTTTGAGACAGAGTCTTGCTCTACTGCCCAGCCTGGAGTGCAATGAGGCAATCTTGACTAACTGCAATCTCCGCCTCCTGAGCTCAAGTGATCCTCCTGCCTCGGCCTCCCAAGTAGCTCGGACTACAGTTATGTGCCATCACACTTGGCTAATTTTTGTATTTTTGGTAGAGACAGGGTTTCACCATGTTGCCCAGGCTGGCCTAGAACTGCCCAGGTGATCCACCTACCTCAGCCTCCCAAAGTGTGAGATTACAGGTGTGAGCCGCCACGATCCTGGCCTCCAAGAGTTAATATATTTTCTTTCACATCACATTTTAAGGGTCCAATAACTACATGTAGCTAATGACTGACACATTAGACAACTGAGATACAGAACATTCCACCACAGCCAATGTTCTATTGGTAGCGCTGGCCTAGACTGTTCTAAGCCCTGTGGGCCTATGATCCTATACTACTTAGTAGGTGCTCAAAAAATATTAGTTGAGTGAAATGTCTGATTCACTGATAACTTCTCCCATACCTCAATCTATGTCTGTGTTACATAGTACAACAGCAAGATGGTATAATCATAAAAACATGTTTGAATGACACTCCCAAAGATTTGGAACTAATAATAATCATACAGTGGACAGAAGAGGAGAAAGAATTGGCTTTTATTATCTACCCATGGAACCAGAAGATCTAGAAAAAAAGATATGCTAGTAAAAACAGGGTTACCAGCTGGCAAGAAGTTGGTGTTGACCCAGAGGTGGAAATCGCACCGAATAGGAGTCAACCCCTGTATTCAACTCCTGGTCCATCAAAGCAGTGGCTCTCAACCCTCCCTGCACACTGGAATCCCTGGGAGAGCTTTTAAGAAAGATAACCTACATCCCATCCCAAGATTGTTTAATTAGTCTGCCTGAAACCTAGGCTTTGCCTTTTAAGTTCTCCAGGGGTTTGTAATGCACAGCCAAAGTTGAGAAAAACTGAACCCAAGTTCTGTAAGGCCTTGAGCCCATCACTTGACTTCCAGGAAACTCAGTTTCCCTAATTGTAAGATGGGAAGCCTAGTTTCAGCAATCTTCAAGGGTCATTCCAACTTCATTGGCTGAAGGTTTTTAACTTAGGTCCATGGATGCAGGGGTTTTCTCATTTGTCAAATTACAACAGCTATCCTAGAAGAAAAACAATGTTAAGGAAACTCTATTCCCAGGTAAGAGGAGGCCTCAAAGCTTAAGTCCACTTACCCTCACTACAGTAGCAAGCATGTGGCTCTAGGTTCATTTAACATGCATTAAAAGGTTGTTTTGTGCTATGTCCTAGACAAGCACAAAAAAACACAAACAAGATATAGACCAATGGAACAGAACAGAGCCCTCAGAAATAACGCCGCATATCTACAACTATCTAATCTTTGACAAACCTGACAAAAACAAGCAATGGGGAAAGGATTCCCTATTTAATAAATGGTGCTGGGAAAACTGGCTAGCCATATGTAGAAAGCTGAAACTGGATCCCTTCCTTACACCTTATACAAAAATTCATTCAAGATGGATTAAAGACTTACATGTTAGACCTAAAACCATAAAAACCCTAGAAGAAAACCTAGGCAATACCATTCAGGACATAGGCATGGGCAAGGACTTCATGTCTAAAACACCAAAAGCAATGGCAACAAAAGCCAAAATTGACAAATGGGATCTAATTCAACTAAAGAGCTTCTGCACAGCAAAAGAAACTACCATCGGAGTGAACAGACAACCTACAGAATGGGAGAAAATTTTTGCAACCTACTCATCTGACAAAGGGCTAATATCCAGAATCTACAATGAACTCTAACAAATTTACAAGAAAAAAACAAACAACCCCATCAAAAAGTGGGTGAAGGATATGAACAGACACTTCTCAAGAGAAGACATTTATGCAACCAAAAAACACATGAAAAGATGCTCACCATCACTGGCCATCAGAGAAATGCAAATCAAAACCACAATGAGATACCATCTCACACCAGTTAGAATGGCAATCATTAAAAAGTCAGGAAACAACAGGTGCTGGAGAGGATGTGGAGAAATAGAAACACTTTTACACTGTTGGTGGTACTGTAAACTAGTTCAACCATTGTGGAAGTCAGTGTGGCGATTCCTCAGGGATCTAGAACTAGAAATACCACTTGATACAGCCATCCCATTACTGGGTATATACCCAAAGTATTATAAATCATGCTGCTATAAAGACACATGCACACGTATGTTTATTGCGGCACTATTCACAATAGCAAAGACTTGGAACCAACCCAAATGTCCAACAACGGTAGACTGGATTAAGAAAATGTGGCACATATACACCATGGAATACTATGCAGCCATAAAAATGATGAGTTCATGTCCTTTGTAGGGACATGGATGAAGCTGGAAACCATCATTCTCAGCAAACTATCACAAGGACGAAAAACCAAACACCACATGTTCTCACTGATAGGTAGGAATTGAACAATGAGAACACTTGGACACAGGAAGGGGAACATCACACGCCGGGGACTGTTGTGGGGTGGGGGGAGGGGGGAGGGATAGCATTAGGAGATATACCTAATGTAAATGACCAGTTAATGGGTGCAGCACACCAACATGGCACATGTATACATATGTAACAAACCTGCACGTTGTGCACATGTACCCAAAACCTTTAAGTATAATAATAATAATAATAATAAAGTGTACAAAAAAAAAAACACAAACATTTAATGACTGTTCTGCTGTGTCTCATTCTCTAACAGTCCCGTGTTTAAGTTTTATCACCATCTTCTCCAATCCCCAGAAAGCTTATTCTCCTTAAAGAGAACCTTCTTATTCTTCCTCTTGCACCATGAAGCACAGCACAGGCACTCAATTACTTGAAAAATAAAATACTCTGATTTATGTAACCTTCCCAATTAGGAAATTCAGTTAAGTTATGAGGAAGTAGCAAATTAACCCTGAAACTTCAGTGGCTTAATACTGCAAAGGTTTATTTCTCATTTATGCTAGGTGCACAAGGCTGGCTGGTACTGAGGCTCTGCTCTCTAAGGTCACACTGACACCAACATGCTGCCTGACAGTCACCAGGCAGAGGAAGAGAAGGGCACAGCAAACTCCTGTGGGTTCGTCTCTCCTTCCACCTGAAGTGATCAACATCAGTTCTACTTAGCACCCACTCGACAAAAGTAATCACAGGGTCCCACTGAACTGCAAGGGAGCTACGAACCATGGCGAAGCATGAAGGTATCATCTCTGCCACCCTAAGCGTTCCTGCTCTGAGAAGTCAGCAGGAAATCCAAGTAGTATCCAAAAGGGTTTCAAAAAGAGTGTGGGCCAGTCATGGTGGCTCATGCCTGTAATCCCAGCACTTTGGGAGGCAGAGGCTGGCAGATCACCTGAGCTCAGGAGTTCGAGATCAGCCTGGCCAATATGGTGAAACTCCGTCTCTACTTAAAATACAAAAATTAGCTGGCGTGGTGGCATACGCTTGTAATCCCAGCTACTCAGGAGGCTGAGGCACAAGAATTACTTGAACCGGGGGGGCAGAGGTTGAAGTGTGCCGAGATTGCACCACTGCACCCCAGCCTGGGCAACAGAGTGAGACTCCATCTCAGGAAAAAAAAAAAAAAAAAAGTGTGAAGTTGGAGGACTCAGAGACTCAGATACAAGGGTGAGTGGAGTAGCATCAAATATCCTGCCATGGCCACCACTGTTTTAGAAAGACTTCTACAGATTCTTGAAATTAAGTTTTTCATATTCTAAACCCTATATTGTATATTTTCATCATAAGTTGGATGGAAAACTTCACAAAGGTACAGATATGTCATTTTTACTGCTGTATAATCAGACTCTGGCACATAATTGCTCAATAATAATTTTTAATGAATGAATGATAAATCAACAGTGATGCAAGTAATTAGAAGAAAAGTCTATAAATGAAAAGCTACTGATAAACTGCCTGGTCAACACAATTAAGAGGTTTGAATTATAAACAAGAATACAGCAGCATAAAAATATGGAGTCAAAGTTCATCTTTTGACTTCAATTTATTCCACTGCTTACACATTCTGTCAGAACCATAGAGCCACAGTTTAACTCCTAACTTGGTGTACTCCAGCAATGGACAGACCAGACCACTTTCCTTATGGGCTTAAACCTGAGTTTCCCAGCCTTGTCACTGTTAACATCTGGGGCTGGATAGTTCTCTGTTGTGGGGGTGCCACCTTGTGCATTACGGAGCACTGAGAAGCATCCCACTAGATGCCAGTAGCAAATCCTCCTCATGACAGTTGTGACAACCAAAACTGTGCCCAGACATTGCCAAATGTTCGGGGCAGGGGTGCAAGTTGCTGCCCCACTCATCTCTAATCTGAAGCAGCTGGGCAAAGCATCCTAATCTATGGGAAAAAAATTAGCAGGAAAAATAGGTCAATGACAATAAATTAGAGCTTCAAGGGTACTCAGCTGCAGACAGACGGTGGTGATGGTCACACAACATTGTGAATATACTTAATGCCACTGAACTGTACACTTAAACATAGTGAAAATGTTGAATCATTATGTGTATTTTACCACAATTTTTTTTTACACTTTGACTCTTTAGACAAGATGACTAATTAGTGGTAGCAATATTACCAGTAGATAATTATATGCATTATACTTTATGCTGAAACATTTTGTGTGTGTACAATATAACCATAACTGAGCAACTGAAAGCAAGATAAAGATAAAAATAAAAAATTATTAGGAGACCCAAAAACCAGCATTATAAGAACTAAAATGGCCAGCTAAAAGAAGAAGTAATCAAACTCTACCTCTACTAAGAAGCTTTGGTGGCTCCAGAAGGGTATCCTCAGACACTCTTAGCTCTCTGGTTTTGCCAGATGTGTGCACAGCAGGCATTTAAGTTGCACTGAGTACACAAGGGCTCTGCATTCTCAAGGTGAACGAGTCTGAGTGCACCAATATGCAAGGACAATAGTCCTAGTGGTTTTGTGAGACTATAGCTTCTTGACATGAGGAACCATGTTTGATTAGGACCTTGCTATAATGTCTTCATATGTTCAGTACCATCCTTAGACCTGAGCAAGAGGGATCCCTTCCCTGACACTGTGTTGCAGAGGGCATTAAATATCACAAAATATAAATTATTAAAGAATACATGGTGTGCCTCCATCCTTGGGATCAACATTCAGTGCTGTCACAGCATGACCTGAAATGCTCAACGCCGCTCTGGTGACTAACACCTTCAGGCCTCAGAGAAACGCTTCTCCACACCTTGTCCTGTGATTCTGAAATAAGACAACAGTGCCCAGCTGCCTTGAGGTTCATGGGTTGTAACACTGCCAGCACTGGAGAAATGATGCTTTGGAGTGTGGGGAAGAATCAGACAGCAAAGAGGCTTAGGTAAAAGGGAGGACAAACTCATTATCCTTCCTTTCAGATAGCACATGCAAAAGATTCTTACATAATGGATTATCATTTTCCAATTAGGCCAAGCATCCAAGTCCTTGCTTCTCCACGTGCTCTTGTCGTGGTTCCAGGGGTACTAAGTATTTGCAACCTCTGCAACATGACAGAGGAGGAATGCTTTGCAATACTGAACAATTCATACTACTCTTATGTGTTTACACATATGTGCAGGTATAACATGCCCAAACCAAGATAGTGATTCCACATATTGGCAGCTGGATAGAAACTGAATAGAATTGCAACTATCTTTATTTTTAAAATAGTAAATGTTTAACAATGTTTTTAATTAAAAATATGAGATTTAAATAATTTGATAAAATATACTTTAAACAGATGTAGGGTTACATTCTCTTGCCCTGGCCCTCCAAATGTCAGGGTGGGCTTGGAAATACTGAGACGGTAGAGTGTGTTACTCTTTGAAAAGCTCACATGCTCCCCTGTCTTCCTCTCACTCATGAATGCTAAGTCAGGGCCTTGCCCAGAGGGAGTACTCATCATCAAGGTGGGTGATAGATAGTAGATACAAACTCAGTTGGAAAATGAAATTTAAATTAAAAACCATGGAAACAAGGAGAGTTTTCCCTGACACTAGAAGGCAGGAGTCAAGCAGTCAAAAAGGGAGGTGGGGCCAGGAGAGAGAAGGCCTGGCCTGCACAGAGGTGCTCCAGGCAGAGCATGCAGAAGCTACCTCATCACCAAGTTTTGCATCCCCTGAAAGCCTGATCCACTCTAAAAACAGTCTTGTGCTAAGAGTTGGCACACCTAGATACCTTGTACCCATCATGGCTCTGGGGAGAAAAAGGTATAAGATGTTATTCCCCCAAGAAGTTTATCATCTTGTTTACTTCAATATGAAACATCTTACATTATGCCAGGTGAAATAAGCCAGACACAAAAGGACAAATACTGTATGATTCCACTTCTGTGAGGTACCTGGGATCGTCAAACTCAGAGACAGAGTAGAAAGGAGGTTTCCAGGTGCTGTGGGGAGAGAAGAGATTGGGAAGTTGGTGTTTAATGGGGACCAAGTTTCAGTTGTAAAAGAGGAAGAGTTCTGAAGGAGAGTGGTGATGGTTACACAATGTAAATACCACTGAGTTGCTGCTGACTGCCACACAATGAGATACCATCTCACACCAGTTAGAATGGCGATCATTAAAAAGTCAGGAAACAACAGGTGCTGGAGAGGATGTGGAGAAATAGGAACACTTTTACACTGCTGGTGGGACTGTAAACTAGTTCGACCATTGTGGAAGTCAGTGTGGCGATTCCTCAGGGATCTAGAACTAGAAATACCTTTTGACCCAGCCATCCCATTACTGGGTATATACCAAAAGGACTATAAATCATGCTGCTATAAAGACACATGCAAACGTATGTTTACTGCGGCACTATTCACAATAGCAAAGACTTGGAACCAACCCAAATGTCCAACAATGATAGACTGGATTAAGAAAATGTGGCACATATACACCATGAAATACTATGCAGCCATAAAAAATGATGAGTTCATGTCCTTTGTAGGGACATGGATGAAATTGGAAATCATCATTCTCAGTAAACTATCACAAGGACAAAAAACCAAACACCGCATGTTCTCACTCATAGATAGGAATTGAACAATGAGAACACATGGACACGGGAAGGGGAACATCACACTCTGGGGACTGTTGTGGGGTGGGGGGAGGGGGGAGGGATAGCATTAGGAGATATACCTAATGCTAATTGATGAGTTAATGGGTACAGCACACCAGCATGGCACATGTATACATATGTAACTAACCTGCACATTGTGCACATGTACCCTAAAACTTAAAGTATAATAAAAAAAAAAGGTTAGCATGGTAAATTTTATGCTACATATATTTTACCACAATAGATATGAATGAATGAATGAGTGAAAACCAGAGTGAAAAAACTTTTTAGAGGCACGGAGAGAAGCTTGACTGTCTTCAAGAGGGGACAAGTTAGCAAGCAGGCGGAAGGTCCTATCATAAGTCAGAGGTTAGGAATATCATTGTCTTCCTGGAAGATAATCTAACTGATGTTAATCCTTTGCTGATGCAGTGAAACCCACACTATTGAACTTCAGGGGGAGGGAGGATGCACGAGGTTGGTTGGAAGAGGCTGCTGGGGCAGATTTTCCAGCCAGCATAGTACACCATGGATAATTTCAGCTTCAGAGGAGACTCTCTGCATTCAAAGTGTGGCCACGTAATTTCTGTGCTCCTGCCTCTAGTCCACAGCTCTGCCAAGTCACTCATAATGATAGCTCAGAGCCAGCCATGGACAAGCCACTGCCCATGAGCAACCTGGACAGACTCAGATGTTCAGAGCCCATTATTTCTCGAGAACTGCTAATCTCTAGAGCCAGGCTTCCCTTCCAATTACATGCTGCCTGGCCTTGTAGCAGGGGAAGGAGGAGATGGGGTCTGGGCAGCTGCCACAGTTAGTCATGCAGGGCCAAATTCGTTTTCAGCAGGGTGGGCGAGCATCTGCTCTGTTTTAGCAACATGGCAGATCATTCCTCACTACCTCCGTGCAACTTTTTAAAAACACCCACCCACTAGAAAAGATCAACTGAAACGAAATCTGCTGGAGTAGAGTAGAAGATACACCATTCAAGTGGGTGGACTAATTTCATTTTTTTTTCCTGGGGGTGGGGTGGGAAGTTATTCAACATGGTAAACATAATTCCATCTGTTGGGAGTTGTGCTTCTCATCTCAAAAGCAAGAGGTGGCTAGCGAAAGCTGCCTACTAGGAAGAGGAATGTGAGGGGTGCACACCTCAGTACAGACGTTTTCTAATAAGCTCATGTTCTGGGTTTACCAAGTGATATGCTTAAGTTGATACAAAACAGAAGTTAGTGGTAGGATGTTCAATCAACAAGTTAATCACCAACCATCTAGAAAAGGAGACAAGACCAAGAATAGGCAGGAAATGATCAGAGGATATGGTACACACTTTTAGTGCTGTTGCCATTCAGAGAGGAAACAGTATCTCCAACCCAAACCTTTTCTCCAAGCAATGTCTGTTCTGCAGCCCAAACTCAATCCATCCCAAAGCCAACCCTTAATTTGTTACCAACCATTTTCTTCCAAACCTATTTTTCTCCCAGTCGTCTCCCCCACCGTAAAGCCTGCATGAACTACCTCTGCCTGCATCCTCAGTCTGAAGCCACCCAACAGTCCTCTTCCCCGACAGCTCCCAGATGCACTGGCCTCCTTCCCTTTCCTGGAACACAAGAAGGTCTCAGGGCTTTGGCACACACAGTTCCTGCCTGGGACACCCTACTCTTGGTCACCGCACCCTGAATCTTCCATGGCCAGCTCCTTCCCAAAACCCCCTCTCCTCAAGAGGAGTCCCAGCTACTCCAGGGGCTGAGGCAGGAAGAGGATCACTTGAACCCAGGAGTTTCAGGCCCACCTGGGCAACACAGCAAGATCTCATCTCTTTAAAAATAAAAAGAGTGGGTTCCTTTTCTCTCCTATACCTCATGCACTCACTTCCATGCCTACTGCCATTTATCATAATACTTTGTCTCCCTTTTGTGTTCATGTTCACTGCCCCCCTTTAGCACTGAGCTATCTGAAACAGCAGGGCCACAACCGTTTACCCATCTGCCCCCTGGGACCTGGCACAGCATATAGGGTGAGCATCCATTATTTGTGAAATGCACCAGTTGCAGAGGCAGTGGTCACAAAAGGCTCATGAGAAGGTAAACTAAATCAGACATATTAGGAGGAATAGAATTTCATAGTTACTACCTTGTCTTCCACTTGAAAGAAACAGCCTGAAGGTCAAAAAATAAAAAATGCTCACTACAGCAGCTAACACATAGGGAGCACTTATGTGCCAGGCACTGTTTTAAGTACTTGCCACATATTAACCCATCTTATTCTCAAAACAGCCCTAGATAAACTAGCACTCCCATTTTATAGATGAAGTAACAAGCACAGAAAGATTGTGAACTGATATAAGGTCACAAAACTAGTGATGGCTGAGCCAGGATCCCAACCCAGGCAGGCTGGCTCCAACCACTGTGCCCTGCAGGGACCCTTGTAGCAGCTCCTCTCCCTCACTTCCCAGTGAGGTCTCAACCTCCTGTTCCCTCCACTCCACTGAAGATTCCTGCCTTGATCACCAATGATCTCTCAGCTGCTAACCCCAATAAACACTTATTTTTTGTGTGACATCCATAGAGCAGCTTCCTGGCTTAGCACTTTCACATACATCAATAGCAACAAGAAAGAATCCAAGGGCTCAAGAGCTCCAATGTCCAGGGAAAACTCCAGCCCACAATGTACTATCTACTCCTGTTCCTTGCACACCTGAGCTCCCTGCCCCACCTCACCCCCGCCCCCCTGCCCCGGACTCACTCTTACCGTTTCATCCTCCAGTCTGAGCTGTAGGCTCTTGTCTCCTTCTTTGTAGTCCTTGGTTAACTCAGCTGAGCGCCATACCTCATCAGGGTCAGGGATCCAGACCCTTGTGCACTGAAAGATTAAAACAGAAGAAACTTAGATACAGAACAAAGCTCTCAGATTTCTAAATGTGTGTCACTACCTAGAAAGTGCCCATCAGGAGAACTTCTAAAGCTATCTGCACACATCTCCCCACCTTCTCATTTCAGGACACAACGTGATCCGATATCATGATAACAGGGGAACAACTCACAGGACTGGTAGCAGAGGGCACCTTTTAGATGTTAAAAGAACGTTGCAGATCAATGAAATTAAAATTCTACCCAAGAGACTGTTGAGCCTGCATTTGTTTATATACACTAGATATTGCACCATTATCTCAAAGGGTGTTACAAAATAGCAATGTCAGAGGGAGTTATTTAGCAGGCTACAAACAAAACAACACAGGGAAAAGCCAAGACAGTATAGCAAATGTTCAAAGCTTGGGAATCTCTGCTGATATTCTGCATTCAGAGAAAAAGTCATTTTCCTGCAGAAGTGAAAGAAAGTGGTCGGCAAATGGAAAGTGTATTTAAGTATCCTCAAGTTGTCAGCCACTTGAATTTATCTGTCCACTCTTTTTCTTTTTTCGGATGGGGTCTCACTCTGTTACCCAGGCTAGCATGCAGTGGTGTGATCACAGGTCACTGCAGCCTCCAACTCCTGTGATCCTCCCGTCTCAGCCTCCCAAAGTGTTGGGATGACAGACAGGAACCACTATGCCAGGCCTATTTGTCCATTCTTTAAGCCATAAACCCAAAACTTTCACTCACCTTCACCAAGTAGCTATCCTGATTTGCAGACAAAGTCACTGAATGGGGCCAAGTTCTGGCAGGAAAGAACACAGCCCTTGGTAAAGTAGTGATACAGGATTAACTGTCTGACTTGCCCAGCACATTCTCAACATAACTAGGAGGTTCCCAGCCCTACTTGCAGTCAGAATCACCTGGGGAGCCTGGAAAATATCAATTCTTGGCTGTACCTCAGACCAACTCAGTCAGGATCTGAGGTGACATAAAAGCTCCCAGAGACACTAATGAGTGCTGAATGGCAGCATCTGGATCTCCTGGGATCCTACTGCACAGCTGTCAGAACAATTTCTGCATTTTCATCTCATAGGTAGGCAACTTCCACAGGGCCTATTTTCTGTAGAAGCCGTCAGTACACACACATACATCTGGCTTCTTTGGCCATAGAATATTATCAGGAAACCTGAAACAACTGGTTCTTTTGACCAAAAGCTCAACCAGAACATGTGCTTGGGTCAGTATCATCCACTTCACTCCTGGAGTGACAGCTGAGCACAGACCCTGGGCCAGTCTGTCACCTGTGCACATGCGGCCAGCTGGCTTTACTTTGGTCCTGACTTTTTTTTTCAAAGCAGTGTTTTCCTCCAGGTAATCAGAGGCTTTTTTTTTTTTTTAAAGCAAGATCCTGACTCCTCCTACACTTGTCTCTAATATACTATGGAACAGTGAAAGTTGTAAGGCAACAGAATCAGAATACCAGTCAATGAGAAAGCAAACATCAACCACTTTGCATCCTTGACATCCCAACTCAGGGTACAAGCCAAAGTCATCTGTTTCATTACTAAGAAACAAATTCACAGAATCTTAACCTTCTCCCTGCTTCTTAAGCCTGCTGCCTTATGGCAAGATATTATCATATCTTTATAGTAAAATAATATAGAGCTTTAAAATAACAAAGAGCTTTATTGCATCTGAGAGCTCCAGAGTAAAATATAAGGAATGTTCTGAGGTACCTCCAGAGAAAACCTTCTGAGCATTTGCTGATCTTAACTGTCAACATTTCTTCTACCCCCAGGTGTCCTCACTTTCTCCACTATGGCTTAAGTCCACCATCCATCCAGCTGTGATGACCTTTAAAGCTGCTGTCCCTAAGCTTCAGGTGAGTGTCTGTCCTTCAGCCTCACCACAGCTCTCTTGTCACTGAGTTCCACTCCTGGGACTCCCCCTTCAGCCAGCATACCCAAGAAATTTTTACCTAAAGCAAAGTCTCCACTCCATGTAAATCATGCCAGGAATGGCTCAAGATAACAGAATGAGGAATAACCAGAAAGGAACAGGAAAATCCCAACAGGAACCGAACGGAGGTGATGTTGTGTAGATCCTGGAAGCCAGGGAGCCTAGTCCCAGCTCAGCCAAGGACTCTGCTGGCCATCACCCTGTGGCCCATATGCCACTCGTGGGGTGGTTAGTTGCATCCAGCACTGAAGAATCTCGTTGCCTGGCTTGATCTCAACTTTTATTCTAGGGGAGTTCATGTACCTTTCTAGTTATATAAATCTCTCCTCTCTAAAGAGACTGAGAGCACCTGGTAGGCATACAATTGGCTTCTCATATTGTCCCATACCCACAAAACCTATCACAACATAAGGGGCACAGTGGGACCCCAATGGTACTTTAGCTCCTTGCTCCTCCAGGTGAGGACCTCAGCATCGTCATCACCTAGGAGCAGGTTAGAAGCATAGAATTTCAGCTTCCCCCAGACTCACCACATCAGAATCCTCATACTAACTACTTACTCTTCCATTCCTGCAACATCATCTCACTCTCCCCTGCCTTTGAGAATATGTCAGCAAACTGCAGCTATGGGACAAATCTAGCACACTGCCTGTGTTGCCTGTTTTTCTATAGCCCATGAGTTAAGAATGGTTGAAAAAAGCTCAGAAGAAGGATATTCACATAACATGAAAAAAATCACATGAAAGTCAAATACTGATGTCCATAAATCAAGTTTCCTAGGAACACAGCCATATTCATTCATTCATTGATGTATTATCTATTTAATACTTTCACATTTTAATGCTAGAATTGAAGGCCAGGTGCAGTGGCTCATGCCTATCATTCCAGCACTTTGGGAGCCGAGGCAGGTAGATCATTTGAGGATAGGAGTTTGAGACTGGCCTGGGCAATATAGCAAGACCCTGTCTCTACAAAACTTAAAAAAGAAAATTAGCCAGATGTGGTGGTACATGCTTGTAGTCCTAGCTATTCAGGAGGCTGAGGCATGAGGGTCCCTGGAGCCCAGAAGCTCAAGGTTACAGTGAGCTACAATTGTGCCACTGCACTCCAGCCTGGACAACAAAATGAGACTCTGTCTCAAAAAACAAAAAGTAATGACAGAGACCCTATGGTTCAAAGCCATTTTAAAAACACAGTAGGCCGGGCACAGTGGCTCACACCTGTAATCCCAGCACTTTGGGAGGCCGAGGTAGGTGGATCATTTGAGGTCAGGAGTTCGAAACCAGCCTGGCCAACATGGTAAAACCCTGTCTCTACTAAAATTACAAAAATTAGCCGGGCGTGGTGGCGGGTGCCTGTAATCCCAGCTACCTGGGAGGCTGAGGCAGAAGAATCGCTTGAGTCCGGGAGGCGGAGGTTGCAGTGAGCAGAGATTGTACCACTGCACTCCAGCCTGGGTGACAAAGCAAGACTCTGTCTCGGAGAAAAAAAAACACATAGTAAAATGTTTACTATCTGATCCTTTACAGGAAAGCATGCCAACCTCTGTCCTTGTACTTACTATTTCCTCAGGCCACAGTGCCCTACCTTACTCGTCCATGTGGGCAGGGTCCAACTTCCAGCACCATCTCCTCACTGATCACTTCCTTCCCTGTTCCCTATAGAGTTAGCCCTACCCAACCATAAGCTGCCACTATAAATTCTTCTATGATTATCTTTCCTTCTGGTTTTGCAGTCATTTCTTTCACATCAGTTTCACCTCATTACAGCAAGATCTTCCAAATATACTGTTGGGCATCTTTGTATCCCTAGGATCTAGCACATCCTGGCACGGAACAGATGCTCACTAAATGTTCATGCTGAGTATAGGAATCAGTGAACAGAGAATGTGCATTCATGGGGCACCTGGTTTATACCTAAAACACATTGTGATAAGTACCATGTAACAAAGTATGAACATGGAGATGTAGCTCCTGAACCTAAGGGATGTATATTTAGTTGGGTCGATAACTCACATAAAAATATGCCCTAATGGGGTGATGTGACCAACTCCTAAGGAGAGTAACATCTATCCAGTGGAGAGAAGGAAGACAGGGAGAGAGGGGAAAACAAGTTAATGCCGACTTTGGAAGAGAGAAAGTTGGTAGCCAAATTCTTCCATGATGTTGAAAAGGATTTTGTATATGCAGATCTGATCAAGCAAGCTTTAGATGCAAATCTAGTAAATATTGGGCACAAGATATGTGTCCAGTCAATCTCCACAATAAAGACACGTGGAACACATTGAGATTATAGCAGTTCATTGTTAAATCAGAATGAAGTGAACCCCCTGTTCTGTGCAGGATGGTTCACAGCTGCCAGCTGCCACCTCCCCGCTCTGCCTCCTCACTTTTATCTTACTTTATGGATTCTCAGTTTAAAGTGTCTATAAATTACTGAGCAGGGCTGTTTACCCAATGTCATCCATACTGCATATAATGAGAAATTTATAGATCTTCCAAGGGTAATTTTAACCATAATCAAATTTTGCCTCATATGCTGGCTTTGCGAGATGCATTGCTTCTGTAATCAAGTACAAAGCAGTATATGATGAGTATAAAATATATGGCCAAGAAACAGACACATGAACTAAGAAGGGAGAGACAAGACCACAGTAGCTGGGAACGACTTGAGGAAGGCAGACATGACCTGAGGTTTGGAGACAGAAAGGATTCGGAGGGGAAGGGTTTCTTTTTGGAGCGATGAAAGTGTTTTGGTAACCAGACAGAGATGGTGGTTGCAAACACTGAATGTACTAAAAGCCAAATTGTTCACTTTAAAATGGTTAGTTTTATATTATGTAAATTTTTTCTCAGTTTAAACACACACACACTGTTCTGGTTGTAGAGATTGCAAACAGTATCTTGTACATGCTCTCTCCTGGCATCGGTTCACATTACTAGTCTATGAAAAAGCAGTAAAATATTTTCACAGAAGGCCATTATTTTATGAGCCAGCCAAACTCTCTAGAACCAAAGATCTGTGTTGCCTCTTAATTTTTTCTCACCTTCAAGGAATGTCTTCAAACAAATCTGACCACTACCAGATTTACTATAAGCCAACAGACTATAAGACAGACAAACTCACTCATACAACCCAATTACCATACCACTCAATTTGTCACTATCCTATTTTAACAACACTTAATTCCTTCATATCAAAGTAAATAAAATAGCAAGTCTGACCCAATTATCAAAGAAAAGCTTGTGATTTTTGGAAAGTTCTTTTGAAAAGAGCCCCACATATTTCCTAGAGAAGGCAGATGCCTACATCAAATGTAAATGCATTAGTACCAAGCTATTCTCCAACAACCTGTTCCTTTATTCCACTGCAGGGCCAGCTCCAGCAGCTGTTCTCCTACATACACAGCTGGAGGGGGTGGCCAACTATGACAAGAGCCTGAATCCTGACTACATATTAGAACCACCTAGGGAGCTTTCACAAATTCCCATTGCCAGGCAACACCCCATCCTACTTTTATCAACCTCTAGGGGTGGGAACCAGGTAGTGTTTTCTGAAGCTCCCCAGATGAATTCAATATGCAAGCAAGTTTGAAAATGTAATTCCATGTGGCTGACTGGGTAACAGATTTGAAGGGTATCACAGACCTTCATGTGCTGCAGGCCTCTCCCTACCAGTGTGTGGTTAAACATTAAACTCCAGCCTGCAGATTATTTCCCCAGAGCTAAAGAACTCTTTCCCAAAGAGCCCCAGCTAAAATGTAAATACAATGTCCAGAAGAGCACAGCATTTATCCATATATATGAATTATCAGGCTGTAGCACTGTGGTCAAGTGTGCGGGCTCTAGAGTCAAACAGCTTCGGAGAGGAATTCTAACCACCATTTATTAGCTTGTGTAAGTTGATGAATGGGTCTGAGCCCCAGTTTCCTTAGCTGAACAACAGGTAAAAGTTCTACCTACCTCGTGAAGTGTTCTAAGAATTAAATGAGAGCCCACTATCACAGCACATAAGTATTAGGCAATGATGATGATGATGGTGATATTACTATACAGTTTTGTCGAGAAATCCTGATGGGATTTTGGATAGAATTAGAAAATGAGAAAAGGAAAATAAGAAACCTAAGGTGGTCCATGTTACTGGGATCCTTTAGATGTCCTGTAGGTCATAATACATAGGTAGCCACATCTTACCTTAAAAATCAATACCTACTTCTAGCCTACTTCTACTCCAAAAACCTGAGAGAATTGATTCTCAGTGCTGGCTGGCATACAAGAATTATCTGCAGATCTTCAGATCTTTAAAAAACAAAACCACTAACACCCATATCCCACACTTGAATAGTTAAATCTTTGGGGGTAGGGCCCAAACACTGTATTTTTAAAAAACTTCCCAAGTGATGAATGCACTGTCAGAATTAAAACTCCTATCTCAGAGTGAACCTCAGGAGCCAAGGTGGACCTTCAGGGAGAAGAGAACAGGGACATTTGAAACCTGCACTCCCTGGAATTAATAATAATGCTACTTCCATCCCCTCCTACTAACATAAGTAATCTTAAGTATTTGAGTCATTTCAACTTAGTTTCAAAACTGAATTAGGTTGAGCAGGGTTATCAATCCTCTTTTATACAGGAGAAACCTGAGGGTTAAAAGTACTGAACAATTTGCCCAAGTTGCCAAGAGCTTAGTCAAAAGCAGGCCTGGAGAAAAGATCTCAGTCTCTAAGTCCTCCACTGTCTACCCCACTCCTGGAGAAATATTGATTTGTTTACAGCAGCCCAGAGTCCTGCTGAGTATGTATTTTATACAGGTAAAGTGCTTTGTAATTACACATGAAAAAAAAAAATGTACAAATGCCAATTAACAACGATACGCCAAGTTAAGCCACAGGTAGTTTCAGCATTAAGCATCAGACAGGCTGATGTTTCAGTTGCAACAACGCCTTGACCGGAAGCAGGGCAGTCTGGGCAGAGTTCCCTGGGAATGGACAAGGGATCCCACAGCCTAACTTGATAGCTGGCAGTATAAACTCCCTGTCCATTCCTGTGATTAGGGGACCAAGAACAGGAACACTGGTCTGTTCAGAAGAAAGAAGGAAGAAAAAACATTTCTAAACTAATAGTTTCATTTAACACCAGCAAAACAGCAGTTTCCCAAGTGGCTTGGTACCTGGAAGGATACTGCTGTGTTGTAGGAACTATGAAAACACCTTACCTAACTGTGCTTGCACAAAGTGGGACACACTCCACTCTTTTGCAAGGTAAGAATTTAGAAGATAAAGATTAATTAAGCCCTGCACCCCCTCCCAGTAGAACTCACAATCATTTCTACAGGTACCGCTGTCTGAAGGAGTGTTCATGGGCCCAGACACCGCATCCTGAACCCAGTGGTGATGATTAGTCCTGCAAATTTGGGGAGCCCAAATCAAGAACATTCCCATTGGTGTGCTGTTGGTCATCTTCCCTTCACATTTATTGGGCTGGGCTCCCACTATGGGAGACAGAAGAGCAAGGAGGTGAAGATTCAGATATAGGGTGCTGGTCCCCACTCCCATCATCAGGTAAGAGTCTACACTTCTGAGGCTCGGCTTCCTCAGAAGGTATTTCATCATCTGGTGGAAATGTCTTCTGCACCAGGGTTGTTGTTAGGATTAAATAATGTATATGAAATATTTGGCCCAGTATCTGGCACATTTTAAGTGCTTAGTAGTTCTTACTATGGCAGGACTCAGGCCCTGGGAGTGAATAAAACCAGAGAGGACTCCCTCTAGGAGAGCACAGCCAGCCAAAGAATCCCAACAGAACCATGTGCGTATAAAGTGTCATGGGAACAGAGAAGCTCAGCGCTTCCAGATTATTTCCCGAGTTAACTCCTCCTCCCCCAGCGGCGAGCCATGCTTCTGAGTTTCCGTTTACTCATTTCCATTAAAGTCTTCCTGAACCAGTAATAATCTTCCCCTTTCCCCAAATGCTTTCCACTGGAAAGCTCCCTGTAATTTAGAGCCACAAGGAATTACATGTAAATATCCCATTTGCCCAGAGCCACCTAAGTAACTAAAAATTCAGGTATGATTTCTGAGCCCATTAGGTAGACTCCCAAGTCCCACCCAGATGCCTCCCTATCTTGCTGCTGTTTTCTCTTAAATGACAGAGAACTAGGGTATGCAGAGCACCAGGAGAAAGAACTATAACATAATATACACAGACGGGGACAGCAGAGAGCCACTGAGCAACCTCGGGGGAGAGGAGAAAAAAGCAGAGAAGAAAGAGTCGCTCTGATGCGGTAACTGCATAGTCACATAGCACAATTATAATAATATTCAACATTTCCTATCATTTAAATGAAACAAAAGTCAATTATAACCAAAAGGCAAATCCACATGCTATGGTATCGTATGTATCGTATCATCTCAACCCAGTCTCTTCAGAAAAGAGTCAACTTTCTGTGATATCTCATTGTGTCAGTCACAATTCCATTTATCACACATTCTATATCTATATTTGAAGCTAATAAGGAATCGAGTCTCCATGTGGCTGATGAAGGCAAAATTTACCTGTTTACTGCCCTATGAATGTAGTTAACAGAGTAAGCAGTGTGTCCTCAGGTGATGAACTGACAAGATGGGAAGCGTTTGGTGTACAAGGAACACTGCTGAATCATTTTATCCAACTGGTTTATACCAGTAGTATACTTGTTGGTGAGGGAAGCAGTGATAGCAGAGGCTTAGAAATACTTATCAAGCAATGCGGTCATGCTCTCACTTCAAGACTTCCCACAATCTACTTGGACAACAGACATATCAGTTTAGTACCTTCTGCATGTCCACTTTCAATGAACTTGGATTGTAAATCCCCGAGTCTGAATTGAGCACAAGGGAACATTCTTTGGAGACTGTGAATGACCTAATGGCCTAAGTGGAAAGATCACTGAAAGCTCCCATTTAAAAAGGGATGTGTCCACAGTAAGTCAGCTTTTTAAGGCTGCAATGCTGAATCCATTAACCTGCTTGCCAAAAAAGCTAAAAAAGATTTCCTCAAAGCTAATGCATATCATGCAGCTAAAGGATATGTCCAGATCCAATCAAGTAGCTAAAACTGTTAAAATCCTACTTCCATAATTCAGCTCCTAGACTGTCAAACCTCCCTAAACAGAGCAATCAAGTATATGAATTAAGCAATCTACTATCATATTAAAAATCTTTAAGTCACTTAAGATAGTTTTCCAGAGCATACCACCTTCATTTTCAAAGCTCACTGACATAATCCAACTTTTAAAATCCATTTCTGATTCTATCACAGGATAGTTGTTTTCCTCTTCATCCAGTGGATTTACATTCTCATCTCTATAAAAGACCAGTATATTGCTTTCCCCAGAGAAACAACCTTAACAGTTTATGATCACCATAACACTTATTGAAAGGTCATAGCCCTATAAATATTTATGCAGTCTAAGTTTGCTTCGTTTTTCTTTTTAAAAACCTGTTCCATTCCTTGACCTCTCTAAACAACCAAAGCAAGCACTGACTGAAGTTATTTTAGGCTAAGTTCTCTTCTGCGAACCACTTCACTGACCAAAATTATTAAGAGAAAGCATAGGAGCACCACTCTTTCTTAAGAAATAACCTGGGGGAAACTGCACCTTGTATTTGGGTGCATGAGTTGGTTTGTCCTTACTCTGTCTTCAAGAGATGACCTATCTCAGAACTTACACACCTCACATACTTGCATCTGGGACTCAAGCGAGCTCTCAATTTTCCTTCCACAGGAGCATGTCAGTCTCCCCCATCTCCAATTAGTCAAACACCTATCTTTGAAGCTGTTCAATAAACATTCAACTCCTATATGTCCCTAATAGGTTACCAAGGCTTACAGACTGGACCATGGACTCCAGTTCACCTAATCCTCTACAAGTATTTACTGAAGACCTCTACACAACAGCCAGGCACTGTGCGAGGTGCTGGGCACAGTGAAGAGGAGACATGATGTCTTAGTCTGTTTTCACACTGCTATAAAGAAATACCAGAGCCTGGGTAACTTATAAGGGAAAGAGGTTTCATTCACTCAGTTCTGCATGGCTGGGGAGGCTTCAGGAAACTTACAATCATGGCGGAAGGCGAAGCAGCAGCAAGCACCTTCTTCAAAAGGTGGCAGGAAAAGAAAAAGTGCAGGGGAAACCGCCACTTATACAACCATCAGATCTCATGATAACTCACTCACTGTAGGCAAAGCAGCATGGGGAAAACTGCCCCCATGATCCACTCATCTCCTACCAGGTCCCTCCCTTGACATATGGGGATTACAGTTCAAGATGAGATTTGGGTTGGGGTACAGAGCCAAACCATATCACAGGGCCCTTCAAGGATCCCGGACCACATGCGGCTAATCTCCTGCAATGGTCATAAATGCATCAACAGCACCGACATTCACAGCATGTGACAGGGGACCCAACCCACTGTGGGTCATCGGGAAAGGCCTCACTGGAGATGATTCAAGCTGAATCCTAGATGGATAAGGAGGTAGCTGGGCAAGATGTGGAAGGAGGTGGTTTCCAGGCTGAGAGGATACCTGTGTGATAAGTCTGGGGCATGAAGGAGGAGGGCTCGCTAAGGAACTGAAAGAGGGCCAGTGTGGGTGGGAGACAGAGGACAGTGGTGAAAGGGGCTCAAAATGACACTGGCAAGAGATGCAGAAGCCAGATCCAGTAGGTTCTTGGGGGTCACATTACAGATTTTTTTGAAGTATTCTATAGCCAATGGAAAACTACACATGGATTTCAAACATGGGAAAGGACATGGTCAAAACTCCATGATAAAAATATCAGATTTACAGATGGAGTGTATATGGAAGAATTATTATCAGCAAGATAGTTCAGTCTTGCAATGTGCATAACCCCAGTCCCTTCCCTTTGTCCTCATATGAGCACTAACAATGATACGAAATCATGGACATCATTTGTCCTACCACTATCCCCATACAAACTGTCTTTGAAACTCTGCCCCTGAATATTCCTTTTTTATTTGGTACTTGTATCACACCCAATTGCTAAACTGCCATTCCCACCACACTTCTGTAGAAATACTTATACAGTTTTGAAACCTCCTTATTCATGTATTATTTCATGTCATCATCAACCAGGTCTACCAACTTTTTTCATTGCATAAGGCAATATGGAGCTAATTTGTTGTTTCAGAGGGTTGAATGGAAAAGTTTAATGCTAAGAATAGAGAAGAAATGTTCAACCTGGGTACATTAGCAAAACGGCACAATAATACCATCTAAAATTCTAGGATATCAGAAGGAAAAAATGTTCCCGAATCAACACACACACTGAGTTGCAGCCATGAAACCAGTTGTGACTTTTGAGCTAGGAAAGTTAAGTGGGTATCTGCTGCTTAAATTACTATTACCCTAAGACCTTAAAAAGTTGCCTCCGATTTCCATCCTGCTTCTGAGATGAATTACTGAGCAGACACTATCAATAATACAGCCTGCCTATTTGGAACCGAATCATTCTCTGGAGAGCTCTATCTAGTGTTAATATCAAACAAATTGAGCTGTCAGATAACCATAGATCCCCTAGGATGACCACAGCTACCTCAAACTCCTCTAGGCCAAATGAACATGTTTTAGAGAGATTCAGGTGCAGCTTTATCCTGAAATGTCCTTTCATGTCCAGTTGAAAACTGTGTCTGCAACTTTAAAGATAACTGGCCTGACACTCTGTGTTCCTCATAAGAAAAGACTTAGTAGAGTTTAGGAAGAGAGAAGGAGAGATGAGATTGCGTGAAATGTACCCTTTATCCACTCTACTATGAAGATGGAAGGGGGAATTCATCTTAATGAGAAAAAGTAAAATGAGAGATGGGCCCCATCTTCTCAATCTAAAACTTTGCACAAAAAGAGAGCTGTCACTGTGAAAACCATTTGAGGAGTTATGAAGTAAATGGGAAGATCGGTTATATTTCCTGTTCTATCTGTACATGGGAGCTATGGCTGGACCCAAGGATTACAAGGAGAAGCCTTTGCCTGCTGCCTTCCTTCAACCCAAACCTGAGCAGCATGTACACACCCATCAGATGAGCGGTGCTGCCCTCAGAAGCTGTTGTTCAGAGTCCCAGTTACCATTGCTACTGCTATAGTTTGGATCTTTGTCCCCTCCAAATCTCATGTTGAAATTCAATCCCCAATATTGGAGATGGGGCCTAATGGGGGATGTTTGGTCACGTGTGCAGACCCCTGATGAATAGATTAATGCCCTCCAGGGTGGAAGGCAGTGAGTTCTCACTCTTAGTTTCCGTGAGAGCCCATTGTTAAAAAGAGCCTGGCACCTCCCTGCTTCTCTTGCTTCCTCTCTTGCCATGTGATCTCCACAAATGCTGGCTCCCCTTTGTCTCCTGCCATGAGTGGAAGCAGCCTGGGGCCCTCTCTGGAAGCATTTACTGGCACCATGCTTCTTGTACAGTCTGCAGAACCATGAGCCAAATACACCTCTTCTATCAACTACCCAGCCTCAGGTATTCCTTTATAGCAACTAAAAACGGACTAAGACAATTACTATTAAGAACAGTGACCCATGGGGATAGGTAACACAAAAGCACTCCAGTCTTGCTGGTGCTGTTTTCCTTACCAAGTATACACTACAGACATGTTCTAGAACACATATACATACATACATATATACACACACGTACATACATATATATATACACACATATACACACACACACACACACAACACTTTTAGAGTGGAAATATTTTAAATCCAAAGGAGCTCAGAATCTCTGGGACAACATAAGCAAACCCTATTCCTCAATAAAATTCTCACTTTCTTACAGATGCCTTACATACTAGGTAGCCAATAAAGCTTTTGTCAAATATGTGAGATTAATGGTAGATACTGAAATATGTGCACATCCCTATTTTAACAAGTATACATCTAGTTCTTAAAATAGAAACCCACACCAGGTGTTAAATCATCCAGGTTCTGGATACAGCCTGAGTCATACTGTATTCTTTCCACCACTTAGGTGTCAAAATAGGGACACATCCCAGATCTACAGCATTAGTTTTCCCCAGTGGCCCCTGCCATTGCCCTGGCTCCAAGGCCTTCCTGGGGTCCAAGCCCCCATAGATCAGAGTCTGGGAGAACATCACAAAGGACTGACCAAAACTCCTCCAACAAAGTTAAGTGATCCAAGCAGTCCCACCTTAAGTAAACTGGAAATGCATAGAAGGAAACAGAATGAAAGAAAAGGAAGCACGCTGGTTCTGGACACAGACCACGTCACATTTATTCTTTCCAGGATGACTGAGAATATGGAGCTGGAGATGTCAAGCAAAAGGCAACTGGGTCTTGGTGTGAAAGAAGAAGTGTGGCTCTGGTCAATAAGTTACCAAGGCACACAGACCTCCCTCAGCATCCAAATAGCAAAACGGCATTGGACAAATCATTCACATTCTCCTGACCTTGGTTTTCCCAATCAGTAGGTTAACTAAATTAAGCTCTCAACACTCCATTTGCACTTATCATTTAACCACCTTCCTGCTTCCCAGTAAGACGGTTGCCCAGGGCAACATCTTTAATGTCCACCTTTAATATATCCATGGAAAGGTCAAAGTTTGTGGCTCAACAGATAGGCCTCTCTCTAATCAGAGAGACCATAGAAGTCAATCAGTTTAGTGCTTTGTTTTCAGAATAAGTAGGTTCTATCATTATTTAGCAGGTAAGGGAAACAAGGCTCCCAGGAGGATCAGTGCCTAGCCCAAGAACACTCATCTATGGAGTCCAAAAACTGTCCTGGGTGCAAGTAGGAAATGGGTAAAAGGGCAATGTTCCCCGGTTAAAAAAAAAATAGCAATAATAATAACCATTGGATGTTTAAAACATACCCCTTATTGGCCATTCCCTCTCCTGCTATTATCTACTATCTGTCTGTGTTTAACAGAGAACCTTCTTATTTGGGTTAACGCTGAGCTCTGGAGTCTGTTTTCACTGCTGACGTAAGGATGAAGAACAGCATCATGTCAGGACAGAGTTCCACCACTCACGGCAGGGACGTTAAGCACCACAACATTGGCAAAATTTTCCCTTCCAAGTCCCAACATCCCATCCCCCGAGTCTTCAGTATTGTCCAGCCTCACCGTCCATTAGTCTACAGCTAGATGTGACACACTGTCCACTGTCTATTCACAGTATCTCTCTCTCACACTCATGTCTGAGCATGCTTGTCCCCGTTGCCCTCACTCCTCAGCCTGGTACCACTAGAAGAGCACTGTTTAGAGAGTAATTGCAGTTTTCAAAGGGCTTATGCAAATAGTAATTCCTAGAATTCCATGGGACAGGAAGCACAGGGATTCTTAGATACAGTTTACAGATGAAAGACACTGAGATCCAGGAAGTTAAGGAACCTAGATATGCTCAGATCCCTAAAAAAAACTGAACCCAGAAATAGACCTTGACTCCCCAGCCAGTGCTCTTTCTACTTCTCCAAGCCCAACCCAATATTCAAGTTTAATTGAAGAGTTCCAACCAATCACCAAGACCTGTTTGTTCATCCCTATTTATTCAGGCACCTAGAACATGCCAGATAATGTCAACATCAAACTCAAATTCAGGATCCACTCTCAACTTCCACTCTGCTGCCTTAGTTCTGGACTTCATCTCTTACCTGAAATATTGCAATTTAGTCTTTTTTTTTTTTTTTTTTTTTGAGACAGGGTCTTACTCTGTCACCCAGGCTGGAGTGCAGGGGCGTGATCTCGGTTCACTGCAACCTCTGCCTCCCAGGTTCAAGCAATTCTCCTGCCTCAGCCTCCCTAGTAGCTGGGATTACAGGCACCCACCACTACATCTGCCTAATTTTTTTGTATTTTTAGTAGAGACAAGGTTTCACCATGTTTACCAGGCTAGTCTTGAACTCCTGACCTCAGGTGATCCGTACGCCTCAGCCTCCCAAAGTGCTGGGACTACAAGCGTGAGCTATCGCGCCCAGCTGCAATTTACTCTTAATTGGTCTTCCTGCAACCAATTTGTTCCCACTCCAACTGATTTTCTAGACTGCTTGCTTCTAGAGCAGTTCTCATCTGGGGTGGGGGACAAAACTGTCCCCAGAGGACACGTGGCAATGTCTTTAGACATTTTTGATTATCACAAGGGTTGGGGAGAGGGTCCTACTGGCATCTAGTAGGTAGAGCTCAGGGATGCCGCTATAACAACATACCACAACACGCAGGATAGCCCTTGACAACAAAAAATTATCTAGTCCAAATACCATTAATGCCACAGTTGAGAAATTCTGTTCTAGAATCATCTCAAAAACAAAAACACCTCATCCTGCACGATACCATTCCCCTGCTTAAAAATGTCCATGTCATTTACAGGATAAGTTCATACAAGACTGTTCGCAACTGGCCCAAATGATTTTTCTGGCCACATCCCCATCCTACCTGCACCCCCCGGCCCCTGCACACCCCCACTGCCCCCTGCCTGCATACCATCTCATCCCACACTCCAGCCACATTCACCTGTTTTGAGACAGGATCTCATTCTGTCACCCAGGTGGGAGTGCAGTGGTGAGATCACTACTCATTGCAGCCTCCTCTGGCCTCAGCCTCCTGGGTAGCTGGGACATTTGGGCCAATTGCAAACAGTCTTGTATGAACTTTTGTATTGTTTGTAGAGATGAAGTCCCGCTATGTTGCCTAGGCTGGTATCAAACTCCTGGGCTCAAGCCATCCTCCCGCCTTGGCCTCCCCAAATACTGAGATTACAGGTGTGGGCCACCATGCCCAGCACTAACCTATTTTAAATCCTTCCTGAGCTTTCCTGCCAGTGGGCCTTGCTCATGCTGGTTCCTCTGCTGAAGATATCTTCCTCCCTTCCTCCACTGTTATTCACCCTTTAAGGACCAGCATAAACATTACTCCCTTTGTCAAGACTGTTTGTTCATGCTTGCCCCAGGGGTCTCTCTGTGTTTTTACTATAACAGCCTTGAATTCTACTATATTCACTTGTACAGATGTTTCTATTTCCTCAAGGGTAGAGACAAAATGTTCATCATGATGCCCCATGCATACAGGACAGGGCCTGCAAAGCACTGAAGCAGATGCTGAATGGACGGACGCGTGCACACACACTCTAGCACTATAGATTCTTGCTTCTCATAGCAAGAAGCTATGGCCTCTCTCCCACCAGAAAGGCTAAAAATAGTACTATCTAAATAACTCATCAGCACAGGGCTGTCACCAGCTCGAGAACATCTGGGCACAAGGAAGAGCAGCTCTGTCTTCAAACTCCAGCATGGAGTCTGATGACACTGCACTTCTCTCTGCAGAGTTAGCACAGCCATAGCTCCTGTAACTTCTAGGTCTTATCTGTCACTACTCCTGGTTCTGTGGGAATTTCTGGGTCCTACAAATTTAGAAAGCTCTGAAGCAATGGGTGTGTTAAATGAATACAGTGTTTTGTGTTTCTCTAAAACTAAATGGAAGAATGCCAAGAGCAGGATCCTTAGCACAGGCTTAAGAGCTATAGGGGAGCATCTGAGAGGAATTTCACTGAGTCCCATGCTCCAGCCCCATTTCTGTTAACAGGAGACAAATCAACAGCTGACTTCTACAATGTGCTGCATAACACAGACCATCTAGCTTCCATCACTGGGGACAAGCAACCCTCTAAGGCTTGGGCTAAAGGGAAATAGGAGCTAGAAGTCATCAAGGTCTCCTTGGTACCACTAGGCCCTGTTAATTCTCTAGGCACTCCCTTTGGAAGTTCTCCATGGACTTCAGAAAACACTGATCTCAGTCCTGTGGGAACTGATGTTATGGAGGAGGGACACTCTGTGGTTGCCCAGGCAAAAAGTGATTAGAGTATATATGCAACTTACATAACCAGGAACCATTTTTAAAAAGAGAAAAAAAAAAAACTAACATTTAGCCTCTGACCTGTGAGGACACAGACAATAGGCCACAGTCTAGCTGAGGCTCTTCCAAGCTTCAGGGATCCAGTCCAAAGTCTGTGGAGCAGCTGGTGAAAAAGCAGCCCCATTTATGTGGGAGAGAGACAAGAGTGAGTAGGGAAGGGCATCACATTCAGGGAGTGTAGCCTGGGGGGAAATTAGAAATGAGGGTTGGTGGTGTGAACGCTGGCCCCAAACCTAACTGCTCTGTGTCCTGGGATAAACTGCTGGCCCACGTCCTTCCTCAGTTTCCTCATTTGTAGGAGCTATCTTACCTCACAAGGGCATCAAAAGAGAATAATTCCAATCAGATACTCAACACCTCATGTGGGCATGAGATGACAGCACCAGGCACTATGGTGCATTCTAAGGTTTTTGCTAACAGTGTAGTTAAGCAGGCAAAGCATAAAAACAGAAAACATTAATCATCAATGGAAAGTAAGCAGCAGGACACACAGTTATTGGAAACCAGTACAGGATTGCATCTAGTGAGTGGAACCAGCTCACCGAGATGCCAATAGGGAGCTCCCACTGGAGGAAGGAAGAGTCCAGGAGGAAGTCCCAGAAGAGAACTTGGCCTGCAAGACCAGAAGCAGGAGAGCAACCAGGGCTCACATTCCAGGCTGGAGTGTGCAAGGAAAGGGCCCAACTAGGCCATCAGCTGAGTTGAAGCCAGGGATTTGTGGAAAGGTATGGTGGGAGGCAAGTTCCAAAAGGCAGGTTGGAGTCACATCGTAGCCAAAGATTTACTCCTAGCCAAGGGACTCTCACCTAATCCTTCACACAGGAGAAGCCAGAAGTTGACTGAGTAGTTTAGCGATCTGGATAAAAGAAAGTATACTTATAACGATCAAGTATTATACAAATGCTAATTGCTATCATTGCTATTCTTGGTACCTACTACTGAAGCTGGGACCTTGTCAAGGGTCCCCAGATGACAGAATAAAAATATTATAAACCACCATGAGGCATACCAGCAAATAATTTATATCAATTTTATCACTCAACAAAACTCTGCACCCAGATGGAACTGGCAAAATAAGAAAAGCCAAGGAAGCTAAGCAAATGAACTCAAACCCAGGTGAACTGGGAAGGACAAGCCCTCCTCTACATGCAAGCATCGTGAGAAGCCAGATTCCCAAAACAACTTGGCTTTCTTGACCACACTCCTGGCCTTCCTCCTTCCACTCTGGCCACCTGTTTGCTGGGTAGCTCCCTGGCTCCCCTCGTCCATGCACCTGTTACTTACCCCTGTCCCTTCTTCTGTGCATGTAACATAATCCTGCTGGGATCTTGTCCAGCCACATGGCTGCTACCTCTCATGTATGCAGCTGAGCCCCCACTTTCCCACTGAGATCTCAACCCTCATATCCAACTTAGTGCCCTTATTTGGGTATGTAATATGTAGATTGAAAGTTTTAAAAGCCAAAATTGAGCCCCTGAATCCTTTCCTACCCCTCACCTGTTTATTTCCTAGTCTTTCCCACCTCAGAAAATGATACCTCCATCTACTTTGGGGTTCAAGCAAAAGCCTGGAGATGTCATCATCCTGGCTTCCTATCTTTTTACCCTATTATCCACATCCAATCCATTGGCAAGGCCCATTCACTCTACTACCAACAGGTATCTTGTGTCTGATCCTTCTCCATTCACCCTGCCAACCCCCTCCTCTCCTAGACTGCTCCTTCTCCTTCTTACCTGGTCTCTGCTTCTGCTCTCAACCTCCACAAACCATGTGTATTAGTCCATTTTCACGTTGCTGATAAAGACATACCCGAGACTGGGAAGAAAAAGAGGTTTAATTGGACTCACAGTTCCACATGGCTGGGGAGGCTCAGAATCATGGCAAAAGGCACTTCTTACATGGCAGCAGCAAGAGAAAAATAAGGAAGCAAAAGCAGAAAACCTTGATACGCCCATCAGATCTCATGAGACTTATTCGCTATCATGAGAATAGCACGGGAAAGACCAGCCCCCATGCTCAATTACCTTCCCCTGGGTCCCTCCCACAACACATGGGAATTCTGGGAGATACAATTCAAGGTGAGATTTGGGTGAGGACACAGCCAAACCTATCACCATGCATTTCCTAAACAGCAGTCAGAGCATCATTTTGAAAGGGCCCATCGGATGTCACTTCCCTGCTTAAAATCTTCCACTGCATTAATAGAACCTGAACTCCTCAATGAGGCTCTTGAATCCTGCATGTCCTCTCTACCAACCTCATCTCTTTCCATCCAGCACACTGCAATTCTAGCTCGATAGGTCTTTTCTTTTCTTGGGCCTTTGAATCTGCACCCTGATCTTCTGGCTCAGGGAGTCTCACAAGGCTCTTGTCATGTAAATCTCAGTTGAAACATCGCCTTCCTTGAAGAGCTTTTCCCGACCAACTAATGTAAAAACAGGTCTGTTAATCACTTTCCACCATCCCCACTATCAGATTTTCTTATCTGAAACGATCAGGTTCATCTCTTGCCTGTCTCATGCCCATAAATATAAGTTCCAGGAGATTGGAGACCCATGGTTTTTTTGGGGGTTTTTTTGTTTGTTTTGAGATGGAGTCTCACTCTGTCGCCCGGGCTGGAGTGCAGTGGCATGATCTCAGCTCACTGCAGCCTCTGCCTCCCAGGTTCAAGTGATTCTCCTGCCTCAGCCTCCCGAGTATCTGGGATTACAGGCGCACCCCATCACCCTGTAGAGACAGGGTTTCACCATTGGTCAGGCTGGTCTCGAACTCCTGACCTCATGATCTGCCTGCCTTGGCCTCCCAAAGTGCTGGGATTACAGGTGTGAGCCACCATGCCTGGCCTGGAGACCTGTTTTTCTCAGTTACATCTCTAGTGCCAAGTGTACTCAGATATTTGTAGGGGACACCATTTGAGCTAGAACAGACCATGGGAGCGCATTCCAGTTGTCCTTGCCCCAGTGCTAATATTCAGGGGAGAGAGGGGTCTCTTGGGATTCCATGGGTATGGAAGACTGGAGAGACTTCACAGAAAAGAGGCAGGATGGAGAAGGAAGGAAGACATCTCAGGTGTGTGCCAAGACATGAAGAATCCAAGTTTTAAACACCTACATATACACAGGAGTATACCATGAATTCCATGGTGAAATTAACCTATCATTGCCCTTCTTCATAGCAGGGCAAAGAAGGCAGCAGGTATTTCCTAACCTTTGTCATCTAATCCTTATAACTCTTCTGGTAAAACATGAATACCCTCATTTCTGTGACTACTGGGGACTGCAGCCCATAGAAGGTGCCTCCCTCTCAGCCCAAGGCCATGCAGCGATGACAGAGCAAGCCTAGATCCTAGTGTGAGGTCCTACACTTTCCACCAGTGCTACACTGTGTTCCCCAAGACAGACTACAGGCTTTAGGCTTCTAGATTCAAAGAAGTGGATGCCAAAAGGGGAAAGAAGAACACAGGGCAGGAAGCCCAAGTCCCCTGAAAACAAGCTGTGGCACTCAGTTTGGATCCAGGAGAGACGAGTTTTCATTCTAACAGGAGCATGGAGCCAGAACCCCAGGACAACAGCTTCCAGCTCTTGGCATTCCTTCCTGCCACCACCAGTCCATTTCAAAAGAAGTATCAGTGGCAATGTACAGCTCTACCAGTAAATGCACATCAGAGGCCAGGCCATGCCACGCTGCAGAATGATCAGAAGGGCTGGACTTTGATTCAGAAAGTCTGACTGCAAACTGCAATTTGAATCCACGAAGGCCTCAAGGAAAACCCCTGTTAACCCTCCACTGACATCTCCTGGATGATCTCATTATTTGAAAAATAGTCTCAAAAGAAGTCACAGCTGGGAGGTCAACAAGAAAGAAGGGTTGGCAAGATATTTCCTTTTTCTTCTTTTTAATTGCAAAAGGCGTGCCAGAGAGCAACCTACAGCCAGAGGCAGAGCTCACTCACTGCTAAACTAAGGGAAAACGCTCAGGAGGCCGTCAAGATCCTTCCCCTGGCTGCAGAACTGTACGGAAAGTGAGCTGAACTGTAAGCTGACAAGGTTGAGGAGGTGGCAGTGGACGATCATACCATGTTCCATCCATGCCCAAACACCCTGAGAGTAAGGGGCACCAGCCACCAAAGACACATGACTTGCCTCAGTAGCATGAGGGTGAAACAGGAAGGAAGGAAAGGCGTGGCAGGAGGAGGGGAAGCAAAGATCACACAGCCATGGCAGCCACCTGGTGAGGCCTCCCAAGCGCTTTTCAGAGCACGGAATATGTCAGGACACACCGGCATCCATTCCTGTCCTTCCTGTCCCTGTCATGACATAGCCTTGGGCTTGTCAAATTCCTAGAAATGAGCAAAGGGGATCCGGCAGTTGGTCTAAATAAGACAATTCCAAAAGGTGGTCATGTGATTCCTCTCCTATCAACTAACCACGAGCAGGCGTGACTTCCACACCTGGTCCACTGCCCCCGCTGCCTTCCTGCTCCTTCTGGAAAAGCCAGAGATGCAGTCAGAAGCTCCCTGTGTGTGTCTCTCAATTGTTCAGAATATTCCCAATCGGGTGAAGTAATGTCCAGCGAGTGGCTTGACAATAATTGTGATGAAAACCAGTTGGGACATTCACACTTCACTTTCTGTTACACTGAACAATAAAGAAGCCCAGACTAAAAAACTGATGTTGCAAAAAAAAAAAAATCCAATAGTATAAAATAAAATTTTGGCAATGTTTCCTCATTAGAAATATTTTTTAAATATATTTCCTTTTTATGCCTGCAAAGATGTCATCAGTCTTTACATGTAACAGACTACTCTTTATGCTGTGAGGATGCCCTTGTTAAAATGTCTTCGTTTTTAAGAAACAGAATGGGGATAGTAAATGGCAATTGGTGTTTTTGCTTAGGGTTAATTTATTGTGGCAAAGTAAAAAAAAAAAAAAAAAAAAAAAAAGACAACTTACATCAGTGACTTGAATTCTTATTGTCGGTCTTTCACTATTTTTTCTAGTTCATGAAACCTAACGTCTGCTCTATGCGTTCAAGTTTGTATAACACACTATAGCTTTGCACATAAACAGGGTTACAGGAACCAGAGACGCTTGCTACTTCACAGCATGTTAGATTACAACTCGGAAGTCCCTTTCTAAGAGAAATTAGGCTGTAACTCAGAGTGGCCCTGCATCTGGATGCTTAAACCTCATGCCTACCATGAGATGCTAAGGTGATCCGTGATCAAGGCAAAACACACACACACACACAAACACACACACACACACACACACACACACACACACACACAGTAAAGGACTTCAATGGTCCAGCCCATTTCAGGAATGTTGCATCTCCCACTCATCTCCTATAGATTCATAATGCTTAACTACATAGTTTTTAAAATCTGTTTAATCAGAATTTCTTAATTACACCTGACAAAGAAGCTTTATCTTAAAACAACGCAACTTCAAGAGAGACACTTGTATTCCATTAAATGCACTTTGGGAAACAAAGGCACAGAGGAAAGAACAGTTGAACAGCAGTCAGGAGGGCTCTCTGCTGCTCACTTGCTCTGTAACCCAGGGACAAGACACCCTCTTCACCCTAAGGCCCACTGCAAGTTTCCGGTTCCTACATACTACAATAACACATCCATTGACCTTTATTCAGCACACTCCCAGAACTGGAAATTCCACACAAGAACTGCACATCCTATATTGCGGAAAAGACATATATTAGCACAAAAGGCATCACAGCCTGGACTTATTTCCTTGGAGGCAGGGGAAGTTGAGGAATCAAGATGACAACACAGAAGCTAGGTCAATACTGGAATCCTAGGGAAAGCGGGAATATTCCCTTTACCCTAAGTGAATCCATCTAGCTTGAGATCACATAAAGCCTATAGCAGAGTTCCCAAACTCAAAGATCTGGTTTCTTTAAACTAAATCCTTCCACAGGAGGTCCTACAGGGAAAGGAAATTGATCAGCACTTGGTACCTTCTCATAAATAAGCTTCAGATCCCTGAGCATCCTGGGAGTAGATTAGGTGCCTTTCGATCATGCTTGATTTACATCACTATATGCCATTTAGTATTATGACACAGCACAGACAAAGGCGAGAAAGCACATTTTGGTGGACTTTAAGGCAAATTTTTCTATGCAAGTCCCCTAATGGCAGGAGGGAGTAGATGCATACTGTCCACCCACTAAAATCTGGATTGACACATTTCACCTTTATAATGAACATGAATTTGTAAAAGCCCTCAACTTTAGTCATCAAGGAAATGCAAATTAAAAACATGAGATACCATTACACACACCACCACTTTACACTCAACATAATGCCTAAAAGAAAAGAAAACAAGCATTGGCAAGGATGTGGAACAAGCCTTTATTTTTATGAACGTGTCAACAGGTAAAACCATTTTGGAAAACTCTTCAGCAGTATCTGCTAAAGCTGAGCATAAGACCCACCACACCCATGACATAGCAATTCTCCTCCTAGATACATGCCCAAAAGCAATGCACACGTATGTTTACCAAAAGACAAGTACAAGACTATGCCCAGCAGCTTTTTTTTGTAAATGCCAAGAGCTAGAAAAAAACCCAATGTTCATTAACAGTAGGATGGACAAATACATCCCAGTATATTCACACAGCAGCATACTATACAGCAATGAGAAGGAAGAAGCCACCACTACATGTGACAGCAAGGACACATCTCATTTATAATGTGGACATAAGAATACATACTAAACTATTCCATTTGCAGAAATTTCAAAAACAGGCAAAGGTAAACAATGGTGTTAGAAGTCAGGACAAGTGACTCTGGGGAAGGGCATAGTGACTGCAAGGGCACACAAAGGAAACTTCTGGGATGCTGGTAAGTTCTGTCTCTTGATCAGGTTCTAGTTACATCGGTGGGTTCAGTATGTGACAATACATTAAGTTAGATATACACTTATGTGTTTTTCTGGATATAAATCTTACTTCAATAAAAAGTTCAAGAAAGTTAGAGAATTTTCCGTCTTGCTTTACACCCTCACCACATGTGTGTCTATATTGTCTCCCCCAGAATCTTTCATAACTCATATTCTAGGAAAATGTACCACACTTAACTTGTGGTATCTCTTCCTCCACAGAACGCTGTCCCACACTCTCCAGGTATCAGAAGATGGGGATGAGAGCATCCACCCCTTGGTCCTTGGACCAACCACTGCCTCCCTCTCACACTTCGACTTAAAAGACAGAGTGCTCCAAAATAAAACTCCTCAAATTCTCCCCCCTTGAGGCAGAGCCCTTCCCTCAAACCCTGGGATACAGAAATCACATTCCCTTTCAAATACCTGTTGGTCTCACTGGCATTGGAGAATATGAATGGATGACTATGAATGGCTGACTCCTCTTCTGCACAGCCACCTGCCACTCTCCAGCTCCTGGAAGAAGCCCAGGTCTCAAGGGAGCTGGCAGCAAAAGGTGGCATGGGATGGGCGGGAGCCTCTGTAGCAGCGGAATCAGACTGTCCAAGTCCAGGGCAAAGCATCTGCTATGTAACCCCTGGGCAACAGCCCAGCTGGGCCGTCTCCAGTTGAATGCCTGCCTGCCTGCCCTCCTTAATTCTGCCAGCGTAGTCTATCCTAGGGCAGAGGGGTTTTGTTGCCACAGGAGCACAATGGTGCTGTTCAGTCACAACTCAGATGCCTGAGATGACAAGTATGGGGAGGGGCTGCTCCTGCTACCAGTGTCATTTTCACAATTTTAGTTCAATTGTGGTAAATATAAAGTTTACAATTTAGCCACTTTTAAATGTGCAACTTAGTGGCCCTGAATACAATCACATTATTGTGCAACCAACACCACTGTCCATGTCCAGAATTTTCATCATCCCAAACAAGCTCTGGACTCAGGAAACAACCCATCAACCAGTACCGCTTTAAAAAGACACGAGAGAAGGAACTATGAGTAAATATCTCAGCAAGCCCTTGGGAGCAGACTGACACTACAGCAACTTGGTATTAGTGACAAGGTCGAGTTAACGACACAGTTTCTTAAAGGATCTGCATCTAGGCTCAAGGAGGACATCTGTGGGGTGCGGGGAGGTGCTGCCCTCACTTCCAGGGCAGCCAATCAAAGCAACTACCTCCCTGAAAGCAAATCTACAGGCGAGCCTCTCCTCACTCTACGCCAATTTCTCTCCCTGCATCCTTTCAATGCTCTTGACATATGTTATTCCAAGGGCAGACATTTTTATACAGCATGTGGGGGAAACCAATGGCGACTTGCCCAACAGCTGCCCCCAAGAGTCACAGTTTGGCAAGAGGCCACATGCCACTTGTAGGCCATCCACAGTCACCAGAAGCCTCCTCAAGTATTAGCTGTTTGAGTTAGATGATGACAACAGGAAGGGGGACAAACTGAAAAAGCCTATTGAATCAAGAGCCTCAATGGAGTTATACTAAACAATTAACATTTACACAACACTTGCTATGTACGAAGGATGGTGCCAGGTTGCCATGCTGGGATGGGACAAGCTGGGATGAAGCAAGTTCCCATAAGAGAACTTCAAAATAAGCACAGGGGCACGGCCCTTCCATCCAGGTTGCTGAGGTGTTCATGCAGCAGGGAAGAAGGCATAGGAGGGGTCTTTCATCATTAAGTCACTTGCCAGCCCGTCCCACTCTTTGGGAGGTTCCACATTTCATGTTGGGTGTTTCTTTAAAATATTGAATTTCATCATTAAGCCAAAATATGACTAGGAGGTGGAATCTAAAAATATATATATTTTCATGCCGCTAGTAGCAAGCTAAACTTGGAATAAAGTTATGAGTCACCAGAGACTCAAACACACCTTCCAAGAAAGCATCTGCTCTGTTTTCTCAGGTGACTTCACCAGCTTTCCCTTCCTCCTCCTTCACCTCTCCTAAGGTTGACAAAGCCTGGATTTAGGTCAACCTCTTCAGTGGGTCCTTCTGTTGTGGCCAGCAGCCCTCAGAATGAATTATCTCCTAAAGTCACCAGAGGATTGGCTGACCAAAGATGACCTGTTCCCAGAGCCAAAAGGACCCTCCAAGCCCATGCTCCCAATGGGAGGCTGCCCAACCCTTAGGAAAACAAAGACCTACTATTTTTAAATAACCAGCTAACAGCCAACAAAAGCTAACTGAGGGCTCGGGATTCTTTCAGCTGATTCATACACTCTACACACAGGTGATTCATCCACCAGCTACTGTAAAGGTGGTGGGAAAAGGGAGGAAAACACTATGAGAGAGAAACATCTTCATTGTGAAGGTACACAATCCCTGCACTGTAATACAATTTAAAAGCTCTCTCCCAAATAAAGGGTTGCCATACTTTGGGGCTGATTTCAGTGTTTTGTGTTTGGTTTTGGTCATAGTAAATAAATCAGGTGTCCTGGGACAAAAAGGCTTATATGGGGACAAAAGTATTATTTCTGGGAAAATTTTTTCAGTCCAAGTAACATTTAACATTCAACATTCTGATTCACACATGCAACCTTTTCTATTCCACCCCTCTGCTCTGTAATCTTTGTTAAAAAAAAAATAAAGCCCACAATTGAGGAATTCACAATTGTATACAAAAAGACAACTGTGGATGGGGAGAAGGGTTTGAGGCTAGCCTGATGGTCTTTCTTGCCTCATCAATTCATATTCCACACTTCCCAAATTCTTGGTTATGGAACCTGAAATTTTACCAAGAAGTAATTTGTTTGGTTTAACAAAATTCTTTTCTAAAAGTGAAAATACACCTATAAAAGAAATATGATATATTAGTATTTATACCCATAAAAGTCAGTTCAGTGCCATCTGCAGAAAAACAGTTGAGATTGGCAGCTAAGAGGAAATGTCTTTTTATCATAGATTAAGGTAGCCTCAAGTGTGATGGGGCTTAAGGCCCACAATGGTACCAAGGGCTGGAGGAGAGTTGGAGAGAGGGTTAAATATAACAGGAGGCAGGCAAAGTGCCAGACATAAGTCCTCACTAAACCATGGACCAAATCCTATTCCCTGTGGTTACTGGATTCCAGGATCCAGGCCTCAGCCTTATACTATGAATATTATAAGCTCAAGTGTGTTATGGACCAACAGGTTGACCTGGAAACAGTGACCTGCAAAAAGATTGTTTCTAGTGAAAAAACACATCTTAAAACTCCAAATATGTGAACAGAGAAAAATTTAGAAGGATATTCCATGTTATTAGGAGCTATCAACATGCAGAAGTCATTGTTTAAAACCAATTCAGGTCTAGAACCTAAGTGTTTCCTCTGCTTAAAGCAAAGGCTATCTGCGGATTGATAAAATATACCAATGTCATCAACATACTGTGAGACCCAATCCTTCCTACCTCAAGGGAATGTGCAGCCTAATACTAACTGTAGGATTGGGACCTCAATTCTATTCATGGATATCCCTTCCAACTTCTGTCCCTCCTAGGAGCTAAGACCATTAGACAACGCATGCTTATTTTACTTCAGTTAAAAAATGAATGGTACCACCTTAATACAAGGGAAAGACTTGCAAATTTGAGGAAGAAAACAGCCAGTTTAGGCAAAGAACTGTTTTTACTCACAACACTTCTGACACCAGATATGTGGACTTCTAACACCAGATATGTGGGCTTCTTCCACCCAAGAACCAATTCTCCAGACATCAACTGGGTGTTCCTCCTAAAATTCAATTCTAACACTAACCACCTGGAGACCCCACAGATTAAGAGCCCAGTTCCACAAGATCATACCCACTGCCAGTGCCAAGTCTAAGGTTCCCACCTGTATTCCGGGAGTTCCCATGACCCTTTTCTTCAGGCTCAGTAATTTACCAGAACAGCTTGTAGAGCTTAGGTAAGTGCTTTACTTACTACTATCAGTTTATCATAAAGAACATAATTCAGGAACAGCCAAATAGAAGAGGTGCATCAGGCAAGGTATGGGGGAAGGCACACAGTCTCTGTGAGCTCTCTGGGTGTACCACCCTCCCAGCACCTCAATGTGTTTACCAACCTGGAAGCTTGCCAAACCCCACCATTTAGAGTTTTTTAAAGTTTCATGACATGGGCATGACAGATTAGCCATTGATGATTGACTCAATCTCCAGCCCCTTTCCTCTCCCAGAGGTCAAGCAGTGGGACAATTCCAACCCTCTAATCATGCCTTGGTCTCTCCGACATTCAGCCCGAATCCTGAAACTATTGTAATACCTAGGGGCCACCAGCCATCTCAGTAGCATACAAAAGACACTTTTATCACTCCAGAGATTCCCAGGGTTTTAGGAGCTGTGTGCCAAGAACTGAGGACAAAGACCCAAATATACACATTTGTCACAGGCATGCATGCTGCATGTGACACGTGGGCATCACAGCACTGAGCACACAAAGGCAAGCCAGAATTAAATCCTTGGTCAGGAGCAGTTAACTTTAATTCAGAGCCTCAGAGGGTTTCCCCTCATCTGTTCAACCATTCTGCAACTACATGAGCTCAGTTACAAGGTGGATCACCAAGGCCACCTACAGCTGGAGTTGGGAGGAGGTAAAACCTCTAGTGGGTGTCACCAACCTGATACCCAAGATAACCAGGGATCTCAAACTCATTCACCCCCAGGCATGCCATCCCAGTCCACCCCAAGGAAGGTTTGCAGTTAAATGCAAATTACAGAAGATTACATCATCATTCACCCAAACTGCCACAGAAGTTTCATAGTAAGACCCTAGCGTCAGAATGGTACTACTGCCACTTAATAGCTATGTGACTCAGGCAAGTCATATCATCTCCCTGTGCCTCAGTTTATCATGGAACCTCTTCTAAAAGGTATATGAGAGAATTCCATGGCGTAATAACGTTTTCAGAACAATATCTGGCACCTAGTTGCTAACATTTAGCAGCACATGTTGCCAATTAGGGTTTCAATTTTCCATCTGCAAAATGAAAAGAAGACTCTGTGCTCCTTTAACCCTTTATTCAGGATGAATCGAGTATTAATTTTGACCCAGAATTCATTCGTCCTCCCTTAGCTTTCTCTTTCTGGGTTATACTCAGTTTTGTTTTTCTAAAACTCTGCTTTAACCATTTTTACTACTCTCTCTAGAGTTAGAGAGGAACTGCCTACTTAATTTTCAAATCCCTTCTTCTGAATCTCTGGCACAAAAATGGTTATCCAGTTTGGGCCTCAATACTCTCAGGGCAGGAAAACTCATCGCTGAGGCATCAATTGTTTACCTTACTGAAGGCCTGCAAAGTTCTTTATGTTTCTCCTGCCTTCTGGGAACTTTCAAACCAAATCTATATGGCCAAATCTCGACATTTGCTCTGATGGTAGTGACAACAATTTGTTTCTAGTTGGGAAGAGCCCGCATCGCCATGTCAATCCTAAGCCAAAAGAACAAAGCCAGAGGCATCACGCTACCTGACTTCAAACTATGCTACAAGGCTACAGTAACCACAACAGCATGGTACTGGTACCAAAACAGAGACACAGATCAATGGAACAGAACACAGCCCTCAGAAATAATGCTGCATATCTACAACCATCTGATCTTTGACAAACCTGAGAAAAACAAGCAATGGGGAAAGGATTCCCTATTTAATAAATGGTGCTGGGAAAACTGGCTAGCCATATGTAGAAAGCTGAAACTGGATCCCTTCCTTACACCTTATACAAAAATTCATTCAAGATGGATTAAAGACTTACATGTTAGACCTAAAACCATAAAAACCCTAGAAGAAAACCTAGGCAATACCATTCAGGACATAGGCACGGGCAAGGACTTCATGTCTAAAACACCAAAAGCAATGGCAACAAAAGCAAAAACTGACAAATGGGATCTAATTAAACTAAAGAGCTTCTGCACAGCAAAAGAAACTACCATTGGAGTGAACAGGCAACCTACAGAATGGGAGAAAATTTTTGCAACCTACTTATCTGACAAAGGGCTAATACCCAGAATCTACAATGAACTCTAACAAATTTATAAGAAAAAAACAAACAACCCCATCAAAAAGTGGGTGAAGGATATGAACAGACACTTCTCAAAAGAAGACATTTATGCAGCCAAAAAACACATGAAAAAATACTCATCATCACTGGCCATCAGAGAAATGCAAATCAAAACCACAATGAGATACCATCTCACACCAGTTAGAACGGCGAACATTAAAAAGTCAGGAAACAACAGGTGCTGGAGAGGATGTGGAGAAATAGGAACACTTTTACACTGCTGGTGGGACTGTAAACTAGTTCAACCATTGTGGAAGTCAGTGTGGTGATTCCTCAGGGATCTAGAACTAGAAATACCATTTGACCCAGCCATCCCATTACTGGGTATATACCCAAAGGATTATAAATCATGCTGCTATAAAGACACATGCACACATATGTTTTTTGCGGCACTATTCACAATAGCAAAGACTTGGAACCAACCCAGATGTCCAACAATGATAGACTGGATTAAGAAAATGTGGCACATATACACCATGGAATACTATGCAGCCATAAAAAATGATGAGTTCATGTCCTTTGTAGGGACATGGATGAAACTGGAAACCATCATTCTCAGCAAACTATCACAAGGACGAAAAACCAAACACTACATGTTCTCACTTATAGGTGGGAATTGAACAATGAGAACACATGGACACAGGAAGGGGAACATCACACTCTGGGGACTGTTGTGGGGTGGGGAGAGGGGGGAGGGATAGCATTAGGAGATATACCTAATGCTAAATGAGGAGTTAATGGGTGCAGCACACCAACGTGGCACATGTATACATATGTAACAAACCTGCACATTGTGCACATGTACCCTAAAACTTAAAGTATAATAATAATAAAATTTAAAAAAAAGATTTTAATTTTAAAATATGGCAGACTTTTTGAAGTACAGAGTTAAAGCAGACATCCATATCCTCAACACCCTGTTTAACGGATTTATGGCCTATTTCTACTCACTCCAGATTTTTAAAAATAAACTTATTACTGTTGAGAGTTCCTTCCCTCTTCCGTTGCCTTTTCTCTTTCCCAAAAGACAGCCATTATCTTGACAGTGGAGTGATTCCCTCATATCTATGTCTGTGTACCATGACTAGATACACCTGTAAATATGTAATATTGTTTGGTTGTATACTTAAGAAAAATGGTAGCATATACTACGTATTCTACATTTGTTTCCACTCACCATCGATTTTTTCCTTATTAATACACATAGATCTGGCTTACTCATTTCAGTATTCCATTGTGGTGTGTGCACGTGTGTGTATCACAATTGACATATCTAGCACCCACTGGTGGACCTTGACAAGTGTTCTTTACTCACTGATTCAAATATTGCTCAGAACCTATTATGTGTACCATACACTGTGCAGGCACTGGAGACACGGAGAAATTATATAACCCTTGCATTTGGAACCAAAGATAATTTCCACATTTGTGGAAATGCCAAGGCTGGGGCATTCCACTGACTATGCCAGCAGTCGGTTGGATCTTCATGTCTGGAGCTCAGAAGAGAGTAAAGACTTAAGAAATAGGCTTAGAAGTCTTCTGCTTACAGGCGGAGGGTGATGCCAGTAGAGGAGATGAGCAGGCCACAGGAACACACACAACTGGTCAACTCACAGAAATGCAAAAGACTAACTGTTCTTGTGCCACTACATATAGTGGAGTGGTCTGTATACAGCAACATAGAACCAAAAAGGATACCACTCCACCAATATCCCCAAATCGGACTGACTGGGAATAGTAAACCTCTACAGTAAATTGTGAAAGAGACTCACAATAATAGCACACCTGAAACTGCTAAGTGAGTCTCACAGCTGTGAACAAGGTAACCACCATGCCATGGACACTCCTCAATACCAGAACATGCAGCCATGGACATGTCCTATTTCAGCTCTCTCTCAGTATTCTGCAAGATACTTCCTTAAAGCCACAGCCAGGTAGGACTTCGATGTTTGCCAAGTGTCTCTAAAGATTGCCTGTTTACTCCTCCATCTGCTCTGAGGATTCTACCCTGGATAAAACATCTTAGAGACTGTTAAAAAGCAGAGTGTTGGCAGGGCATGGTGGCTCATGCCTGTAATCCCAGCATTTTGGGAGGCCGAGGCGGGTAGATCACGAAGCAGGAGATTGAGACCATCCTGGCTAACACGGTGAAACCCCGTCTCTACTAAAAATACAAAAACAAGTTTTCCAGGTGTGGTGGCACGCGCCTGTAATCCCAGCTACTAGGGAGGGTGAGGCAGGAGAATCGCTTGAACCTGGGAAGTGGAGGTTGCAGTGAGGTGAGATCGTGCCACTGCACTCTAGCCTGGGTGACAGAGGAAGACTCCATCTCAAAAAAAAAAAAAAAAAGAATAAAAATAAATAAAATGAATGTTTTAAGAATCACACTATGTTTAACCGCCTGTGTCTGTCATCTATGCAGACATCAGTAAAAACCTCTAAATAAACATGCAGAGGTAGCAACAAGAGGCCCAGGTGTCTCCTAGGTAGGGCTGTGTCATGAAGCCCAGAGCGTTCACTGGAGGTTGCCAGTTTTGATTGATGAGGCACCCTTCCCAAAGAGCTCAGGTCTCCAAGGTGATGCTAGGTGCAGGAAAACCAAGATGAGAAAGGCCTGGGGACTCAGCCCTCATGCTAACGGGGAAGCACAGTAACTAACAGTGTGAGGAAGAGAGTATTAAGAGCCACAAGAGCAGCAGGGGTTGGGTACCACAGAAACTCTGAGATGGCAGAGATTCTTTTGGCTGGAAGGTTAGAAAAGGTTTAGTGGAAGCAGGGACTTTGAGCAAAGCTTTGAAGGATGTAGAAGATTTGAAGATGCAGAGACAGAATTCATAGACCAGGGAAAGAAGCCAGCACCTGTGACACACAGCGGCAGGACCGGTGTGGGGTGACCTGCTGTTGGCTGTGGGTTTGGTGTCCAAAGGAGGGTAGAAGGAAATAAACGTGGCAAGTCAGGATTATAGGTGGACCATGGAGGACCCCAAACACCCTGCTTGCAGAGAGGACTTCATGCTGTAAGCTACTGGAGGCTACTGAAAGTTTCCGAAACAGACAAAGGTGAGATTGGAACTGAGCCTCAGGAAACTCCACATGACAGGCATGTATAGGAACACCTACCACACACAGGAAAAATAGGTGATGTGCTATTGATTTATTACCACCCTAGACACAGCTTAAATACAAGTGCAGCACTGGTAAAACCACCAATGTGAAATATTTCTCAGGTGACTTTAAAATCTTTAAAACAATAATTGTGTTCCTCTTCATTTAACTCCAGGTTTGTTAGGAATAAAATTGAAGGAGCAATATTTTTAAAGTCTATATTTTGACATATCCTTTTGCACAACCCATAGCCTCACCCTCTTTCAAGGACTAGCTCAAGCCTGCACTTTCAGAAATTATCAATTTTCACTAATTGTCTAGATTATGTATAAGCACATGGCCATTTAAAATGTATGCATTCACACATGTATAATTTATATCCTCCATCTTCCAAAAGTGATTTATAGCATAGCAATTCATTTCATACTGTCTTTTCCAGTCATTGTTTTGCATATCTATCTTATCTATCCATCAACACACTTCTTTTGAAGAAAGCCTGCATATTACACCTTTTTGGTTCTTCCAAAAGACTTGGCCCAACAGAAGGCATATGTTAGTGCTTGACAGATCTTTGTTAGCTGATGTTTTTTGCTCCTAGACTTGTGAATATCATCTAAGGGGAGAAAAGTCTCCCTAAAATGCTCATTTTTCCTGGTCAGTAACCTGGCAAAAGTAACCTTCTGGAAAGCAAGTCAGTTTCCTTTAAGTACCATTTTTTAAAAGTTTATCTGGAGCTCAAGTTATAGGAACCTGGCCAGGCACAGTGGCTCACACCTGTAAGCCCAGCACTTTGGGAGACCAAGGTGGACAGATCATGAGGTCAGGAGTTCGAGACCAGCCTGGCCAATATGGTGAAACCCCGTCTCTACTAAAAATACAAAAATTAGCCGGAAGTGGTGGCACATGCCTGTAGTCCCAGCTACTCAAGAGGCTGAGGCAGGAGAATTGCTTGAACCCAGAAGGCGGAGGTTGCAGTGAGCCAAGATCGCACCACTGCACTCTGGCCTGGGCGACAGAGCAAGACTCCGTCTCAAAAAAGGAAAAAAAAAGTTATAGGAACCTTTTATCAAGGGTGAGAGACACAAAAAGCAAACCAAAGATTCCCTCTGAAGCCAAGTGCAGTGGCTCATGCCTGTAATCTCAGCACACTGAGAGGCCAAAGTGAGAGATTTGCTTGAGCCCAAGAGTTTGAGACCAGCCTGAGCAATAAAGTGAGACCTCATCTCTACCAAAAAAAAAAAAAAAATCAAAAAATTAGCCAGGTGTGGTGGTACCTGCCTGTGTCCCAGTGTCGTAGGAGTTATTAATTAATTATTTTAGGCAGATGGAAAGGAAAAGAGGTCCTTGGGAAGTTTCTGTTTTTAACGCTGCTCTGCAAACACAAACGTTTCTTGTAAAGTCCTGGCCCTTAGAGCCAGGTCGGCAACCTTTGATACCCACCCAACAAGGCGATTCCCTGGGCCTTTGTGCCCTTGCCCCATGTATTCCTGGCAACATGGCCACCCCCGCATAACCCCACATGTGTAGAACATCATGGCACCCTGCATTTGCATATTAAAAGGCTAGGGTGGGAGGGCCACCTTTTTCGAAGGCTACATGAATGACATACCTGGTCAAACCAATCCCCTGAGACCTATGCAAATCAAACACCACCTCCTTCAGCCTCTCTCTATATATCTGGCTGGTTTCCGCCCCAACTGGGGTTCCCTCTCTCGGCTTTGGAGCCCCACTCCCTTTGTCTCTGTACGAGGGAGCTTCCTCCTTGCCTATTAAATTATCCACTCCTTAAAACTACTCCACATAAGTCCATGTTGTTTTATCTAAACCAGCATGAGGACAAAGAACCCTGGTGTTCCTCCACTCCAGGAGGAATCAAATCACCATCTACAGGGGAAGCTGAGGCAGGAGGATCATTTGAGCCCAGGAGGTTGAGGTTGCAGTGAACCAAGATCATGCCACCACACTCCAGCCTAGGTTACAGAGCAAGACCCTCAAAAAAAAAAAAAAAAATTCCCTCTGAGGGAAATTAACAAATTATGTCCATGTAAGACACACTTTGTGTCTGCTCATAAAAATGCAACCATTGCTGACAGGGACTCCAGGAAATGACAGCCATAGAATATTAGGTAGTATCCCTCCTTGAGTTGTCACCACACTCATCAACTAACACCCATGTGCTCCACAGTCAGAATTTACACTCAACTGGGAAACCACCGCCAAAATCAAACCACCTCGCCTTTCTGCTCCTATTTCTACTGTGGCTGTCTCTACCCTTTTTAGGCTTCTTGGGGATTTTCTGTAAGCCAAGGTTTACAAAATGTGGTTTTAAAAATCAAAGCAGAAGAGTTCCCTAGCACTTTTGTACCAAAGTCTGCCTACAACTGACCTGCTCTGCGTTATAATGCAGCACAGGGGAGCTGCTGCCCCTTGGATCCATCCAGAAAGAGCCTCATTGTATCACCACTTTCCCTACAACAGCATCCCCCATCCTCCTATAGCATTAAGTGAGGGCTTCCTGTTCAAACAAGCTGTGTTCAAAGTTCTGGGTCTGGAATTCAGAATTCACTTTTTCAGCAGAAACAATTCTAGCCATGCTAGGTTCCCAGGACAGCCTGCACAGCCTGTATTCCTAAAATATAGTGACATGTTTCTATGAAGAAGTTCATTTTAAGTTGCTTACCGGCAGGTATGTGCCTGGGTGTCCAGGTACCACCAGCATGAGAGAATTCCCCCAGTTAGTGGAGGCCCCACCTGAAGACAGGGAAGGGCAACAGCCCCACCTGTGCATATAGATGCATTGCAGCCACTTGCCACCAGGTCAAAGGAGACTAAAACAAAGTCCTCTACTATCATTCAGACGCACTGGAAGTTTATAAAGGGAGTGGAGGCCCATCTCATAGCAGCTTTGATCAACTACTGCGTATTTACTAACATCAATGCTATGCATTCCCCTCCAATACCCAGACTGACAGAAGCTTTCTCCTCTCAAGTTCTTTGGCACTGTATCTGCAAAGTCTCTGAGAGCATTTATAAATTTTACTCGTATTCAAGCTTATTTGCATACCCATCCTTGCATTCTTGGAAATTTAATCACCTATTATTACTATGTATAGATGGCACTTCATAGTAATTAACATACACAATCTCATCCCCGAATCCTTACAACCATCCTATGGGGTAGGTATACTCAGAGAACCTAACGGATGTATGTACAACAAAAAGTAACTGGTAGCCCCGAAACTTCAACCCAAATCTGGCAACTGTCTGCCTTCTTCCCATTGCTGGAGGCTGTTTCTGTCTTTGTAGGAGTCTCACAGGGCACTAGGCAGCCATTTGTTTATCAACTGAGCCACCTGACACCACCACACCCTGTTACATGTATCTCAGCACCCCTGACTTCTGTTCAGTGTCTGCTTGCAGCTTCTACAGATTTAAATGCCTATTTGTAATATATAGGCTTGCACTGAAAATTTCCCAAAGTTTTCAATGCTAATATACTAAAAGGGAAAGAGGAGAAATGGCACTAGAAAAGCCAAGGGTTTTGGCTAAGGGGATGACAATGCACTGGGACCATCCTCAAAAGTTTGTGAGAAACAGGGACAAATGTGATTAGTCAGGGCAGCCCCATTGTGAGCTTTCACTAGAATTATGGCCAAATCCTGTGCCAGTAGACTTGGGCTATTTCAGGGCTGTTACTTCATGAGATTCTAGCATCTGTTATGCTTTTGCAGGTTTCTAATTTCAGCTTCAAAGACAGAGACCAGGAAATGAAGCAGACACATATAAGGGCCAGCAGAAACAAAGAAGAATCCAAATGAATAACTGCCTGCCTTAAAGGGATTTCAAGTAAGAGGCTCAAAGATGGGAAGAAAAGATTAGAAGAGAAAAATGATAAGCCAAAAAACTGTAGTAGCAGATGCAGCCCCAAGCTGAAATTCAGAAGAATCACTAAACCAAGAAACAGTGATGGGAGCAGCATTAAAAGGAAGAATGGGTCTTGCATTTGAAAAGTGAGCACAGGGGATTACAAAAGGTTGAGGGACAGGCCCAAGGTCACATGGCATAATGGAGAAGGAAGATTATAGCCATCCTGCTGCTGCTGCTGCGTTCTAACACACCTCACTAAAGCAGGGTGTGTCTAAAGCCATCGACTTTGGTTAACAATCAGTTTTTTGTTTTTTGTTTTTTTTTAAACACAAGAGCACCCAGTCTGCTCAAAGAACTGTAAAAGGGTTATAAAGACCAGAAACCACGGGGGTTCCTGGAAGAGGTTGGTCAGCTGCTTGGCTAGACCATAACTTTCAGGCTTTTCAACAGGGTGATATTCAATTTCCTAAAAAGCTGCAATCATGAATGAATGCCAGTAACATACTAGTGCCCAAAATGGAACTGAAGGGGAAGAGGAAATGATATGGTAATTAGTAGGAACAGAACACATTAAGTAGATACTCTAATATTGAATTATTGAATCATTGAATAAATGTCAAGAGTGTTAGACTCCAAAAATACTTTTTTCAAAAATTTAAAACCTTAAGCATGCTATAAAATTCAGAATACATAAAGGAAAATGACTGACAGATTTGACAGCATGCATTCTCTTTTAAAAGACTCCGCAAACAAAAGCAAATGGCAGAAGAAACCTTAACAAACATGCAGAGAAACTTTCAATATCTATTATTCTCAAAGCTATCAAATCAGTAAGAAACTATGAACAATTTGTAAATAGACTGAAAAAATACAAAGAGCCAATAAACATGAAAAGATGCTCAACTTCCCTCATGATTCAAGAAATGACCATTAAATGGTGAAATACTACTAACCTATGAGCTTTGTGCCACACACACACACACACACACACACAGACACACACACACACACACAGAGAGGCACACACACACACAAAAGAATATTAGTAATACCAAGATAGGAAACTAAGCATGCTCATGTTGTTGACAAAACTGCAGAATGGATGAACCCTCGAGAGCAACTTGATCCAGTCATGCCAAGTCTAGAAGACTCTCCTACAGTAACACTAGCTTGAGGATGGGAAGAGTAAATAATATGGATGTTAACTGTAGTGTTGTTACAAGGGCAAAAATTGAAAATTGCCTCATGTTCAGTGGGATGTTAACAAATCATCATGCAGTTGTTGGAGGCGTTTAAACCAGAGCAACTCCATCTGGAAGAGGGGCTGGGTAAAATGAGGCTGAGACCTGCTGGGCTGCATTCCCAGGAAGTTAGGCATCCAAGTCACAGGATGAGATAGGAGGTCAGCACCAGATACAGGTCACAAAGACCTTGCTGATAAAGCAGGTTGTGGTAAAGAAGCCAGCCAAAACCCACCAAAAACAAGATGGAAATTAAAGTGACCTCTGGTCGTCCTCAGCGCTCATTAAACACTAATTATACTGCGTTAATATGCTAAAAAAAAAAGAAAAAAGAAAAAGAAAGACACTCCCACCAGTGCCATGACAATTTACAAATGCCATGGCAACTTCAGGGAGTTACCCTATATGGTCTAAAAAGGGGATGAACCCTCTGGTTCTGGGAATTGCCCACCCCTTTCCCGGAAAACTCATGAATAATCCACCCCTTGTTTAGCATGTAATCAAGAAATAACCATAAAAATGGCCAACCAGCAGCCCTTGGGGCTTCTCTGCCTTCGGAGTAACCACTCTTAATTCATTTACTTTAATAAACTTCCTTTCATTTTACTCTAGATTCGCCTCGAATTCTTTGTGTGAGATCCAAGAACCTTCTCTTGGGGTCTGTATCAGGACCCCTTTCCAGTAAAACAGTCTTCCATGGGAATCCTGTAGCCACTAATATGTAGTAGACTAACGGGTTGATTTGGAAAGATAATCATGGTATATTAACCAAAAAGCACAAGTTACAAAATGTTATAGTATAATCCTTGTGTTTAAAAAACAATCTATGGATACACTGTTTAAGTAAGCAAAAGGCTGTACTAGACAGGTTCACATCAAAATTGAGCAGTGTAACTCTGAGCAGGTGGGCTTAGAAACAGGGAGGGGAAAATGTGGTTTAAAAAAAAATGCTAGAATTATGGACGACACTTCTTTTTGGTGTTCTCCCAGTTTTCTTAAGTACTGAGTTTTTTTTTGTAGTTGGAAAGAATTTAAAACCTCAAGATTTCATAATGAAACACAGAAAGGAGTAGTTCATTCTCAAAGAGAAGAAATAAGCCATCGAGGAGAAAAATGCAGAAAATGCAGAAATGACCCTTGAGCTACACTGCTGCCCCATGGGAACATTTACCAAACAAGGGAAAAAACCTATATGGAGACCAGTGTTGCTTTTATCAAAGACAACAGAGATTTGGGTAACTCTGGTGTTTGTAGATCTCCTCATCCATAAACCTGGTACATAACACACTGATGTGGTCCTGACTCTTTGTGTAGCCATTAGGCCACTAAAAACTGAAACCAGGATCTATTGCCTATGGACTTGCTCAGTAATATAAACCTGTACATTTTTTTTTAAAACAGTCTCGCTCTGTCACTCAGCCTTGAGTGCAGTGATGTGATCTTAGCTCACTGCAACCTCCACTTCCTAGGCTCAAGTGATTGTCATGCCTCAGCCTCCTGAGTAGCTGGCACTACAGGCGTGCACCACTGCATCTGGCTAATTTTTTTGTATTTTTAGTAGAGACAAGGTTTTGCCATGTTGGCCAGGCTGGTCTCGAACTCCTGGCCTCAAGTAATCCACTGACCTCAACCCCACAAAGTGCTGGGATTACAGGTGTGAGCCACCACAACTGGCCGAAATCCATCAACATTCCCTGCACAACCTTTCTCACAGAGTATCCCCTCACCAACGATCTTGAGTGCAACCATTTCAGAAAAATGTGTTTCCACTGAAGTATCTTCTATTGTCATAGTTGGCCTGACAAAGCCATTTATTTATCCTTAGGAACTGATGCTTTGGTATAGCTAGTAATTCCACCCATGAAATAGAAGTGGATGTAATTCCCTGCATTTCCCTCCTCTACACAGCAAGCCGTGCAGTTAACCTGTGCATTCAAGGGACTGAAGCAAGATCTCATAAAACTAAAAAGTTTAATCACCGTGACATTTCTGCTTCTCCACTAGATACCTGGTACTTGCTTAAATCATGAAGCAGGCACATGTGCTGGGGTTCAGAATGAGAGTGGTTCTGCTGGGCACTCTTTGTGGGATGCACACATGGGTGGGTGTGTCTGCACTGAGCCCTTAGACACACCTAAGCCCAGCCCCATTGTGAATAAGGATGAGCATGTGTGAGCCTAGCTGTCTTTCAGGAAAGAGTCAGAAATCAGTTAATGGATACAGTTAAGTGAACGAGACCCATGCGCCTTGGGATGGCCAGCCACCTACTCTAACCACCCATGTGAGAAATGACTACAGTGCAGGGAGCCTCACTCATGAACACATCCACCAGAACTTAGACACTCCCATATGGGTCATGCCACTGAAAGCAATCTTTTAAGAGCTTCTACAGGAACCACCTTCAGAGCTTCTTTGCTTCCAATATCCTTAGAGATGAAAGTGTTACATCTTTGGAGAGGGAACAGAATTATTTGAAAGTCAAATGTGAGTCGGTCCCAAGTTTGGTGAGCAGGTAGGTCAATATCACCCACCTCCCAATCCCAATTCACTTCTGCTACCAGGGCATTCTCCCAGTCACCAAGCTCAGAACTTCGAAGAAAACTGTTCTGCCATATCTCACCATGTCTAACTAGGGGGACCAAATCATTTACTGTCCAAACCAGGACACTTCCCATATATGAAAAGGAGGCACATTTAACCTTATGTTGAACCACATTAAATAGCCACATTTGGCCATTTTTGACCTAAAGAAAGGCAGCTCCATGATTCACTTATGCTGAGACACTGGGCTGCAACTAGGCATTTTGGGGAAAACAAGGATTGTGTGCTCACCCAACATCCAAGCCATCCCCAAATCCTTTCAACATCTGCTTCTCACACCAAATTCCCCCCTTTCCCCCTCTGAAGCATTCTGACTCAAGTGTTTGCTCTTTACTTTTTAAATTAGGCTGTGAAGGCCAAGGTTGTCTTGCCTTCAGCCTCTCCCCCCTCCAATCCATCCCACCAAGAGCTAGAAGATCCCTCTTTCTAAAACTTAGGTCTGGCTATGTCACTCCGTGTTCAAGAAGGATCACTGTGGCTCCCAGAGCCTCCTGGATCAAGGTCACACTTCTTAGTCTGTATTGAAAGCCATTGAGGCTGATCTCCACTGGTCACCATTTCCATCTCTCCTTCATCCTAACTTCTACGATGTACCCACTTGCCCCAGCACCAGTCTGTCCACTGTAAATAAGCACAAGTCCTTTCCTACTTTGTTCACAATACATACTCTTAAAAAATCATCATCACCGTCATCATCAAACCCCCTTTGCCCTGCCTTGCATTTCTATTTCCTCTTCTCAATGTCTCTCCCCAGTGTCTTCCTGCTGGAGCTCCCTAGGTCCAACACTGGCTTCTATGCTGGCTCCTCAGCATGGCTACAATATACCCCTACCTTCAGACAACGTCTGCTCCCAGCTCCTGCGGGAGACAACACCTGGGCCAGCAGACCTGCCAGCCTCACCTGGCATCCATCCACAGGGTCAGTGCTTATGCTGGGCCTGGCTCCACCTATGAAGGGAAACCAACACTGCAGCATGCATTGTCAGTCCAGTGAAATGACTTCATTTCCCAGGCAAGTCCCCAGATTTTCAACACTGCTGTTGATATGGTTCCCTTGTCCTTCCTCCCCTATCTTTCTTCTCAAATCCTCCCAGTCTTTCATTGCTGGTGTCTTCCCTGACTTTCCTCCCATCCCCATTCCCCACAGATGTCATCACTCCCACCTCCGCATCCCTAGAATTGATCTCACCTCTCTTGTGACAGGCCAGTGCATGCTGGCTTGTGCTAGTGTGGCTCACATGTGCATCTCAGCCAGACTGCAGGCACAGTGAAGGCAGACACCCTGCCTTACCATTCTTTTGATTCCCAGTCCAAGTTCACTATGTGGTCCATCAAAAGTCCTCAATAAAGATTTAATTGTACTAATAAAACTTGTTTGGGCCACATATAACATAAAATGGCTTTGAACTCAACCATAAGAGAAGTTCCAAACTTCTTGAGAAATCGCGGTGTTATTTAAATCATTGTCCTAAGGTGACTTCACTGAACAACAACACTCATTTAGATGTGTAAGTTCTGGTCTGTTAAAAATCATCACTCTGCAGCAGCAGCAGAATGTAGGGCTTCCTCTCCAGGCAATAAGCATGATGGGTATGTCGACCTCACAGGCAGAAAGTTCCAGGTTCTGAATAAGTAGTCATCAAATGACACAAGCCAGTGCTTAGGGAAGGATGGTAAACTTCTGTTGCAAGTCCCAAGCCTCTCGGGGCCTACAGGCAAACCCTGACTGCCCATGAAGCAGCCGCAGGTGCCAAAGGACCCACTGCCAACAAGGAAATGAGGGCAGTGGATCACACACCCTGGTGAAACTGAGGAGGAGCAGAGAATGAAACAGGAAACTGGAGACAGCATGACTTCAGACCAGCAAAGAAAAGTCACCACCCTGGAAACTAATGCTCTACCCTAAACAAAGAAACTACACACTGCTTTTTGCCAAAGAGGCTAGTGGTATGAGTCAGGAAAGGACAAGAATGACCAACTTCTCACACCCTGAACCACATTCAAAGTCTAAGCCAAGAGAGCACCTCTGGAAGTCAGAGTAAAGAATTCCCTTCGAAATAAAATATTTGCTTTAACATTTACTCCACAATATAACTTGCTTATATCCAACATCCTCCATCAAGCAGGTCAGTTTGTCTACTTACTTAGGGGTATACTTCAACAACAGTTAATACCAACAGATTCGTGGAAACACTATGTTACTTAAAATCAGGTTTTTTTTTATCTTATAGGTGTATTGTTCCAATTGTTTAAGGGGCAAGGTGTAAACTAGCAATCGTTGCTTTGGAGTTACAGGCTCCAAACTTAGTTGCCATGTTCTATGGATTCCAATGAAGTTATAACATTCATATTAGATGTCCTAAAGAGTCCCATCAAAATCAATACCAAAATATCTACTGGTTACTAGGCTGGCTGTGAGGAAGCAAATACACAACAAGGAAATAGACTGCCTTAACTTCAAGTAGCTTACAAACTACAACTTAGCTTTGAAAAGGTAAATGTCCAACTGTGTGGTACAGATTGGAAGCACAGTGGCATGGGGACTGGATTAACTGGGAAAGGCTTGCAGAGATGGTAGGATTTATGCAGAAGAAAAAGAAAGTCTTAGAAACAGAAATGAAATAACATAGATAACATGGACAATGTAGTAAGCTCCTCTGTATCATCAATGTAATGACTCCAATACATGCTCTTGGAGCATAAGCAATCCAGGTACCAACAGTGGTCAACTGAGCAGCTGGGAAAGAAACCTTCACCAAAGGACAGCAGTTCAGATGATGGAACCTCTGATCCTTGCAGTCCAGCTCCTGTAATCCCAGAAGAAAACCCTAAGGATGCCAAGGCCACCAGCTTCCTAGTCACCTCTGTCAACACCCAGCCCCACTGTCAAAGTTGTAAACCTTTATACTCCCCTGAATGAATCTGAAGAACAGATTAAAACGGCCTTTATATGAATGATCCAAGCACAACTACAAGAGCTGAATGAGTCTCAGCAACTGCTTAGAGGCTTCAAGCACAAGTTGCCTTTTTTTCTTTCCATTTAATTCATCTTCTGACCATGAATTCAATCCGCATCCAAGCTTGTCTCAATCTGGAGTTTCTTAAAGTCTGAGGATGCACATTTCCAACCTAAGACACAACAGTGTTCATATCTTTTGTACCTACTGTTCAGAATAAGAACAACTGATACAATAAAACCCAAAACACCTGAAACAAAAAAGGCATGTCAAGCAATAATGAGAAGTAGGTTTGGACAGGTAGAGTGGGACAGGATCATGGAGGCTTCTCAACACAGGCAGCTGTTTGATGTTCCAGAGTGGATAAGTGACACAGGAAGACTGTGCTTCAAGGATACTTAGCAACAGTGGGACACACAGTAGAGACTTAGGGAACAGGAGGAACAGAAGTCTAACAAGATGCCATGGTTCCTTCCACTCCCAAAAGCCTGGCTTAGATGCAAAGCCAGCCAGTCAGCCAGCCTTGTAAGTAAAACGTAGTTGATTCTTGGGGTTCTACTACCAACAGGCCACCACAGAACACAAGGATCTTACTCTAAGTGAGACATTCTCAATTAGGGGTGATTTGGGCCCCCAGGAAACATATGGCAAGGACTGGAGCTTTGAGCTGCTTTTAAGTGGTGGGGATGAAGTTCCACATAATTTCAGCAACCATCTTTACATGAATTTGCAGAATAGTTAGCTGAGAAATACACGGTATCTTGTACTTATGTTCCCCCTGTAAAGCCAACTGGCTTCGTTGATGCCAATGGGCACCTGACATTAGATATATAAACTTTATCCTCCACCAAAAGGGCTAAATATAGACTACTATTTACTAGGGCCCGTGTGTGCCTGCCATGGGTTCACTGGGCCAGTTCAGGACACTGGACATAGGACCAGGGCTCCACAGTCTACACACAGATTCTCAGTGTCCTAAAGCAACCTTCAGAGATTTACCTCCCACATCACTATAGGTGCCTTCCAAGCTCAGATCCAAGATACACAGCCAAGATATTTCAGCAACAACCTGGCTAGAAACCGGAAGAACACTATAAAGTCACATGCACATTGGTCCAATGACAGAAGGAAGGAGCTTATTTTCTTTTCTACATGAGCACATCTGTTTGGATATTCACTAGAGTAAATACTTAAATGACTAATTCACAGTTTCACTTTGTCATGGTTAAAGTATTTTATGAGACATCTGCTTCTGCTAAATCAGGATCTTGTTTCCTCCTGAGCTGTCACACTGAAGGCAGGAACATATGATGCTGGTTGTGTTGCACCAGCAAAAGCTTGAGAGAATAACCTTTTCAGACACAAGACTCCCAGCTTCCTTTGGTATCTGTGAAGCATCTATTACTGCAAGTCAACAGACCCACTGACCACAGGAAGACCTCAACTAGTGCACAGAATTATGCTTCAACTATATTCAAGTGAGAAACGGCCTGCATGGTATGGAGGGAAGGGAAGTTTTACCCCTCTGCCTACCACCCTCCCCACTTTCTACTTCTCTCCTCTTTCCCCAAAGCACATCGTACTGACTGGTCAGGGTCCAAGACATTACCTGGTACTAGCTGTTGCTCAGGCACAGTCACTGGGGGCCAAAAGCCACATACTATGCATGCATCTCCCCTCTCTTTTCCAGGTCTAGGGATCAGCAAACCAAACCAGAGCTGAAGATTCCTCCTAAAGCACTGGGCTCTTTCTCTGCTCTCTTCTTCTTGTCTTTGCTTTGCAAGGAACAATCAATCAGAGCATGGCAAGACCCCTAGATGCGGAAGTGGCTGAGGGAGAGCTGGAGCCAGCAGCATCACCCGAAACTGCAGTTTCCCACCCAGAACTCTGCTTTGGGAGGGACAGGGCTTGGGCCAATGAAAACCTAGAACTTCAGTTACTATTTGGCAATTGTTCCTTAAGAAGACCACAGGTCCGGGGAAGGGAAATGGGGAGGTATTGAACAATCAGTTACAAGATGAATAAGCTCCGTGGATCTAACCTACAGCATGGGGACAATAGTTCACAATAGCATACTGTATAGTTGAAGTTTGCTAAGAGGGTAGACCTTAAGTGTTCTCACCACAAAACAAATCCCCCAAAATGGTAACTATGTGAGGTGATAGATGACGAGTATGTGAATTAGCTTGATGATAATCATTCCGCAATGTATATGTACATCAAAGCATCAAGTTGTACACCTTAAGTGCCAATTTTGTCAACTGTACCTTGATAAAGCTACATGGAAGGGAAAAAGAAGGTCACAGGGAAGAGGGGTACTTAGTGAGGCACCAGCCAGGTATCCCTGAGTCCTGGACCATCATATTCCTGTATGGGGCCATCTTCTCTGTAAGTCCTAGGCATATTGATTGACACATATTAAAAAGAAAAAATAACTATAAAAATGCCTCACCTACAGAATGGGAGAAAATTTTTGCAATCTACCCATCTGACAAAGGTCTAATATCCAGAATCTACAAGAAACTTAAATTTACAAGAAAAAAAAACAGACAACTCCATCGAAAACTGGGAAAATGATATGGTACTTCTCAAAAGAAGACATATTTATGCAGCCAACAAACATAAAAAAGGCTCAACATCACGGATTAGCGAAATGCAAATCAAAACCACAATGAGATACCATCTCATGCAGATCAGAATGGTGATTATTAAAAAGTAAAGAAACAATAGATGCTGGTGAGGCTGTGGAGAAATAGGAATGCTTTTACACTGTTGATGGGAATGTAAATTAGTTCATTGTGGAAGAAAGTGTGGCAATTCCTCAAGGATCTAGAACCAGAAATACCATTTCACCCAGCAATCCCATTACTGGGTATATACCCAAAGGAATATAAATCATTTTACTATAAAGACACACACACGTATGTTTATTGTAGCACTATTTACAATAGCAAAGACATGGAACCAACTCAAATGCCCATTGATGATAGACTGGATTTAAAAAGTGTGGTACATATACACCACGGAATACTATGCAGCCATAAAAAGCAATGAGATCATGTCCTTGGGTGAAGGAAGGATTGCGTCCTTGGATGGTTCAAACTGGAAGCCATCATTCTCAGCACACTAACACAGGAGGAGAAAACCAAATACCACTTATTCTCACTCATAAGTGGGGGTTGAACAACTAGAACAGATGGACACAAGGAGGGGAACAACATACACTGAGAACTGTTGTGGGGCGAGGGGAGAGACGAGTTAATAGGTACACCGAACCACCATGGCACACCACATACTTATGTAACAAACCTGTACGTTCTGCATACATATCCTACCCAGAACTTAAAGAAAAAAAAAAGCCTCCAAATCTTAACTCTTAGAAAAGGAAGACAGATTGCTGGGAGGGAACTCACAGCAGGAATACGATCCAGGTGGAGAAAAGCCAGGTAAGGAACCTCCTCAATGGTCCAGCAACACACAGATCCAATGAAAAGCTAGAAATGCAAGAGTGGCTACAGATTAGGAATACTAATGCCAGACAAAGAGTTTCCACAATTAGCAAAATACCTCTGATGCAGGGTGAAGGCTGCTCCAACCCAGTCCTGCACAGCCCAGAAGAGAGAATCAGAACCTGGCTCTGGAGTATAGTCCCTAGACCAGGAGCAGCAGCACCTGCAAGCTTGTTAGAAATGCAGAATCTCTAACCTCAGAACCAATGAATTAAAAAAAAAAATCCCCAGTGTTCTACATGCACATTAAAATACTAGCCTGTCCCAAAACCCCCCAGGCCAAAGAATTAGATAATCCTGTACCAGCCCAAAGTTTCTCAAAGTCTTTTCCTTCCCCTCCCCAGCCTCAGCCCATAAGAGACTTTTCTGCCCTTTCCCAGGAGCAATGAAGAGGGAGTCCTTTTTTTTTTCTTCCCCAGGAACTCAGTCCTTCCCCCAAAGGAGAAGAGTAGCAAATCCAACAGATTGTATGTGATCAGTGAGTGGAAATGCAATGCTCTTGAAACAGGCTCTGCTCTCTCCTTCCCACTTCTCCCCTGCCCCGCCTGTCCTTGTTCTGACTGTGCTCATGGCTACAGGCTCACCTTGGGCTTCCAGCTCCTGTGGTTAACTAGCCAGGAGGCCCACTTTGTGGGCAAAGCTCTCTGGGCATTTTGGCAAAGCCATGACCTCAACAGTGGACCAAAAGGTCCTAAATTTGAGGGTAACTAGGTGCTGCCTAGCCATTCATTAAGCCACTATCTTAGTTTCCATTTCCAACCAGTTTTGTGTGGATTCTACCAACCTAAACTATGGAGGCTGGGAAGGGTAAAAGACACTCTATCCTGACCCTCCCTGGAAGTTAGAATGTATCTTACAATCTTGTGCTTGTTCAAAATCCCTACCTGGTGTGGGTTGGTTAAGTCTCAATCCATTTTTTTCTTTTCCTTTATAAAGATTCTGGTCAAGGCTGGGTATGTGGGCTCATGCCTGTAATATCAGCACTTTGGGAGGCCAAGGTGGAAGGATCACTCGAGGCCAGGAGTTCAAGAGCAGCTAGGCAACAAAGTGAGGCCCTATATCTAAAACAAATTTAAAAATCAGCCAGACACGGTGGTGTGCACCTGTGGCAGCTTCTGGGAAGGCTGAGAGGATGGCTTGAGCCCAGCAGTTTGGGGCTGCAGTGAGCTATGATTATACCACTGCACTCCAGCCCATGCAACAGAGCAAGACCTTGTCTCCTCATCTGCCCCCACCAAAACAAAAAACAGATTCCAAACACCTAGGAACTCTAACATCATACCACCAATCACTCTTTGAAACTTCATGGACTCTAAATAATAATTTGCCGTCAAGCACATGCAGTTCCAAATGGGTAGGGCAAGCATGCATCATCATCTGGGAACACAGTTTACAAATTATGTTAAATGTAACATAAGGATCACCTTCTTAGTTAAAAGTATCAGTTTTGAGGCAACACAGTGAGATCCCATCTCCATTAAAAAAAAAAAAAAAAATAGCCCGTGTAGTAGTGTGCACCTACAGTCCTAGCTACTCAGGAGGCTGAGGCAGGTGGATCTCTTGAGCCCAGGAGTTTGAGTTTACAGTGGTGAGCTATGATCATGCCACTGCACTCCAGCCTGGGCAACAGATGAGAACTTGTCTATTAAAAAGAAAAAAAAGAAAATTATACCTAGCGAGGAGGACATTAACAACTTTAAGGTGTCTTTGGCCAGAAATTTAAGATTCCTGGGGATCTATACATGATATATATATATATATATATATATATCTCATAAATCTCAAAAAAATTTAAAAAGGAACATCCTCATATTCTTTGAATAAAAATTCAAAAAAATTTACCAATTTTTAAAAAAATGTTTTTACTTAGTTTATGTCTCTACTGTGAAATATCTGATCATCTATTTGTGGTCATTAATTTATTCAATGAGGAAAATTTTACTTTAAATGACTAGTATTTTAGTTTAGAAGAAACATTTCTACAAAGATCATACAATTGTTCACTGTCATGATGATTCCTGTCTTTATTTGGGGATGAAGAGTAATGATTATAAGCATGGGCATCAGGAAAGACCTTCTTAGGTTTCCCACAACTATGTAACCAGTTCCTCGCAAATAATGACTAATGTACTTCATAGTAATGACAAGTTTCAGACCATGCGCTCTTACATTACAGCTAAGTTGATAATAATCTTTCATAGCCTTTTCCCTAAGTTTGAAATTGCTGGGTCCTAGGGGAAAATTCTTTTATCCAGGGAATGAACAGACATGGACCGCACAGGTAGCATCTGCCCCTTATTAACCTTGAAACTGGAAGTAGATGGACAAGAGATATCCCAGACCTGCCAAAATGCATAAACACCAGCAATCACAGAACTCCAAAGGCCAGAACAGCAACACTTGTGGGCTGGCTGGTGCTCAGATGGAAAAATTGGGATGGAGCACTCTGGAGACCACCAGGACTCAACCACCGGGAGGACTCCAGAGGGGGTACACGAGGACATCTAGGAGCAGGAAGTTAAGACTTGGCTTCTGGAGTTTTAGGAGAATGGTTTCCCTATTGACTGGGATACTTACAAAGGAAACCAAGGTAGGAATCAGACCAAGATGAGGCTGGAAGAAGAAAAAAGACCGGGACCAGTCACTAGCAGTCAGGGTGTAAGCAAGAGGTCAAGGCATGGTAAAAATAAATAAATAAATAAATAAATAAATAAATAAATAAATAAATAAAAAATAGATAAAATAGCTGCTGATGCTGGTACTGGAGCTGGGTGGACAGGCAGGATGACAGGATAGAGAGGGCTCCCCTTTATGTTGTTCAGAGTGATGTGAAAGCCAGGATGTCATTACCATCTGGAGTCTTAAACAATTACTTTCTACCAAACAAAACAGTGTAGCTATGAAGCAATGCTTCTTCCCTAACCTGTGAGCTCTGAACCAGGTTCACAGAATCCAACATGGGAAAACCGCACTCCACGACAGTCTCCTTAAGTTCCGTACTTCATGATTCCATTTGTGACCTTCTTAGAAGCGGAACTATAGTGATGGAGGACAGGTCAGTGGTTGCCAGGTTAAATAACTTTGTAAAAATTACTATGTTTGCAGGGTGCATTTCTTTTTTTTTTTCTTTTTTGCAGTGTGTATTTTTCTGCACACAGGTTTCGCCTGATTTCAAAGGAATACGAAACTCCCCAAAAAGGTTAAGAAAACCACTGCTCTAGAACATCAAAGCACAAGGCCTTGCATATGCCATTTGGAGTATGGAGCTGGGCTGGACAAATTAAGTAAAGACAAAAGCATGAAGTCACTCCTATGAGCACCACTACAGCCCTCCCAGCTCAGCACCTTCCAGTGTTTCTGGCACAAAAACAGAGCTCTTTGTTGACTCTCAAAGACTCACATAAACACATAAACAAGCCTCCTTTGTAGGCTGTCCACCCTACCCACCCTAGTCACCCTCTCCAGCTACTTTTTATAGAACCACCTCAAATTCATACTATTCAAGCCATAACTCATCCTCCCATCCTGCCCCTGCATCCTCCGCCTGCTCCCTTCCCTGCCTCAGAGAGTGGTACCATCCTCTTACTTGCCCAAAAATGCACCCTGGACATTGTCTTCACTTCCCCTCTACCTCGTTAATTCACCAAGCAGATCTCCCGATTCTCTCCCAAATCTGTTTGCTTTTCTCCATCCCCTCCACCACTGCCATCCCTGTCCAGGTCTCACCTTTTCTCACTAGGGTAAAACCCTGACCTTTGGTATGACCCCACATCAACGCATTCTCCTTACTGCAGCCAAAGTGATATTTCAAAAATGTAAATCAAATAATTTCCCTCCCTTGCTCAGAGCTCTTAGATGCCCTCCTCACTGTTCTTGGGACCCAAGTCCTAGTGTGTCAAAGGGGTCATCATCATCTGGCCTTCATCATCTGGCCCTGTCCAGAGGTTTCTGCCTACTAAGTTTAATCTCTTACCATTTTTACCTTGGAAATAAGGCTACTTTCATTTCCCTAAATGCTTCATGCTCTTATTGCTAGGCCTTTACAGTATCCTCCCTGTGCCTGGAATGCTCGCCCACCCTATTTCTCATTATCTGGCTATTCCTCTTCAGGTTTCACAGCCTGGATGTCACTTCCCCCAGGAAGTGCTTCCAACTCCCGAGGCCTGGGGCATGTGCCCCTCTGTGCCTCCCCTGACACAACCCTGCTAACTCCACATGTCAGACAATTCATCTGTGTCCCTGACAGACCCAGTCCGTGAAAGGCATCTTATTCACTGCTGTATCGTCAGTGTCTATTATAACAGGAACTCAAGGCTTGCCGATAGATAATTTGTGCCTTTGGTATGGCCACATAACTCTATGTCCCTCCCACCTCATAAAGAAAACCCTGGAGAAATAAATGCTCATTGACCAAGACCCACTCTGCTGCCTTCACTAAGGGAGGGTGCAAAGGGAGGAGAACATCTTGGCCTAAACAGCCAGACAATGAGGATTAGTTATGGGACCTCCAGCTGCCCTGACTCTGAATCATGGGCTAGACAGAGCTTGGAGATTGCCTGGTCCAGGGTTTCCTAATGCCTTAGGGTGCCTTTTTTTTTTTTTTTTTTTTTTTTTTTTTTGAGACAGTCTCCCTCTGTCACCCAGGTTGGAGTAGAGTGGCACGATCTCAGCTCACTGCAACTGCCACCTCCCAGGTGGCACTTGAAAGTGATTCTCCTGCCTCAGCCTCCCAAGTAGTTGGGACTACAGGCATGCGTCACCATGCCTGGTATTTTTAGTGGAGACAGGTTTTCACCATGTTAGCCAGGATGGTCTTGATCTCCTGACCTTGTGATATCCAGGGTGCTCTTGAAGAACTCCAAGATCCACCAACCACCAGAGAAATGAGGAGCTCAGATAAGACAGCTCCTCCCGCCACAACCAGGGGAGTTCTACCGTATTCTCACATCTTGAGCTTCAATTAAGATTGTGTTTCAGAGTTTTGCAACTTAAACTTAACAAGATCCCAGATTCCATTACCATCCCCTCAATTTACAGATGCAAAACTGAAACCCTAAGTTGTTAAGGGACTGGCTCCAGCCACACAGCCATTTCCTGCTAGAAACCAGCCTTGTGATTCCAGCACTGTTTCCGGTTTTCATGCCACACAGCACTACACATCTGTGGAGCAACAGAAAGAGGCAAAATACCCTAGTTAATCATTCTCTCACTGCTTTGTTGTATGTGTTTTTAAGTTGTATATGCTAACATTCACATAGCATACATGTACTTACAGTATAATTATTCAGAAGTGGACATCTGCATAACCATGCCCCCAAGAAGCCAAGGATACCACACCCTGAAGTCCCCAACTCCCATGTGACCCTCCCTCTAGAGCAAACCATTATCCTTTTTTGTTGTTGTTAAGACAGTCTCACCCTGTTACCCAGGCTGGATGGAGTGCAGTGGCGTGATCTTGGCTCACTACAACCTTCGCCTCCCAGGTTCAAGCAATTCTCATGCCTCAGCCTCCTGAGCAGCTGGGATTACAGGCATGCACCACCATGCCTGGCTAATTTTTGTATTTTTAGTAGAGATGGGGTTTCGCCATGTTGCCAGGCTGGTCTTGAACAACTGGCTTCAAGAGATCTGCCTACCCTGGCCTCCCAAAGTGCTGGGATTACAGGCATGAGCCATCATGCCCAGCCCATTATCCTGTCTCTTGAAATAACTCCTTTGCTTCTCTTATAATTTAACCACCTATGTAAGAATCTCTGACAAACAGCTGAGCTTTGTCTATAGTTGAACTTCACAGAAGTGTGTACTGTTTTATAGTTTGAGTCTTCTGCTCTGCATTAAGTGAGATATGTTCATGTCCCTATGTGTTGCCAGAGTCCATTCATTCGCGCTATTGTGTGCTATTCTAGTACATGAACAAACCACAATGTATTTGTTTTAAATATTGATGGTGTTTCTCCTATGTTTTTAACATCGAATCAGCTGAGTCCACACAATTTCAACATGATTGTACTGAAAATACCTGGGTACCCAGAGCAGAAACAGGCCAAGTTCTCCAGGCAGCCTAGACCGGCTACATGTTTCACAGAAGCCCAAGAACAGGAAACTATGCAGATGGACCCCCGACAAACATGCATCCTTGACAATCCACAGTGCCTCATAAGGAGGTATGCAGCAATTATCTCGGGTTCTAATAATAAGGCCTTGCTGTGTGCTGATAAACCAGAATCAGTAAAAAATATGTAGTAACTCTACTATTGAGGATACCAGGTATGTAGATAAAAACTGATTATCTTTCCCCAGCCAGCTCTGAAGTGTTCAAGTCTAACATGAGGCTATATGTGCTGCTTCCATTATACAGCTGGGCTAGCTGGGTGAGGCAACCCTTTCCTTTCCTCACACAAAATACAGTTCACCTGGCTTTGAATGACCCCACATGCTAAAACTGTCTTCTCTGAACCAGGCTCCAAGAAGAATAAAGTCACTGGGGTGATGATACCAAGACTAGCTAAATGGACCAGGACTAACTGAAAATTGGCACTGAGTGATTTTTAAAGCCCTAGAAACCCTATCTTCCCGTCCCACCACTTCCCCTATCCACAGCTTCCACCAAACTTCCACTGAAGAACCACGATAAGAAAGTTTCCAGTGTCAATACCCTAAGAGGGCAAATGGCAACTGAATCCCAGCCAAGACTAGAAGCTACATGACAGACCACATACCTTTCCAAGAAAATGGAATTTGTTACGGGACCAGCAGGAAAAACCATGAGTGCTAGGCACCCAAGCCGGGAGACAAGAAGACATAAATTATGAGAAATGCCCCCAGAAGAGTTCAGAGGTTCACAAAACATGCTCTGTCACCAACTTGTCAATCTTATCACAACTGGTCCGCTGGTCATGATTTTTCTTTTTTTTTTTTTTTTGAGACAAGAGTCTTGCTCTGTCGCCCAGGCTGGAGTGCAGTGGCGTGATCTCAGCTCACTGCAAGCTCCGCTTCCGGGGTTCATGCCATTCTCCTGCCTCAGCCTCCCAAGTAGCTGGGACTACAGGCGCCGCCACCATGCTTGGCTAATTTTTTTTGTATTTTTAGTAGAGACAGGGTCTCACCGCATTAGCCAGGATGGTCTCGATCTCCTGACGTTGTGATCCACCTGCCTCAGCCTCCCAAAGTGCTGGGATTACAGGCATGAGCCACCACGACCAGCGGTCATGATTTTTCAAAGGCAGCAGAACCAAGGTAGGCAAAGGCACCCTCATCCGGCCAACGGCAGCACCATGGTGAGCTACATACAATGCTCAGTATCCACCGCCCTCCATACTACAACATAAACACCCAAAGCAGGCCTAAAGCCATGTGAGAACAAGAACAAATCATGTCACTGCCCTGTTCAAAATCCTCCACGGGTTCCCCATCCCAGCGAAAGTCAAACCCTTGCAGCAGCCTCAAAGGCCCTACCCAGTCTGGCCTCTCTCACCTCTCTAACCTCATATCCTACCCTCTCTCCCCACTCCCTTCACTCAGCTCCAGCCATAGACTTCCTTGCTGTTCCTCAAAATCACCAGGCCTGCTGTGCCTCAGGCCTGGGCACCTGCTTTCCCTGTCTGGAATGTTCTTTTCCCAGATATCCACGCTGCTTCCTCCCTCAAATGCTTCAAGTGTTTGGCCAAACGTGAACTTCTCTGCATGGCCTCGAATTTCACCATCACCTCCCTCACCCCATTTCATGTCTCCTTTCTCTGCTTTATTTTCTTCTCCTGGCAACAACAGCATCTATGCCCTAAATACTTTATCCTGCTTATCTCCCTCACCATGAGATAAGCTCTCTGTGGCCTAAACCCTCCCACCTTCCTCCCTCATTTGCTCCAGGTATGCCCAGCAGCTGATAGGCACTCAAGGATTTGGAAGATAGTGCTTTCTCTCATTTTATACAAGAAGAAAGTGGGGTACTTGGTTGGCAAGATTAAGCACCTTGCCCAGTACACATTACTGAAAAGTACCAGAGCCAGGATCTGACCCTAGGTCTGTAGAGCTCCAAAGCAATGTTCTGAATCCCTCCTGCCTCTCCTCTTAAATGTGCTTTCTTTATCCCTGAGTGCATGTCACTGAAACTCACCAATCACACTCCATAAATGCAGAATGTTGAAGTATAGGGCCAACTGAGGACGGAAGTTAAGGAACCAAATTTTATTCATTAGTAAACAATTTCCAAATATGTCTGTAGCATGGATTAGCGAGAATGATGAGTTTAAGGGCTATAAACCACCTAGAAGATCTAGACAAGGTAGAGTATGAGTCTGTTAGAAAAATAAAAATAGAAGCATAAAAATTAGATAAAGGAGAAAGCAGGCAAACACCTACAGATTCAAAGAATGCCTTACTGAATACAAAACATATCAGAAGAAGATCCTGCAATCATAGTGTACCATAAACAGAGAGCAGCAGATAAAACTACTTTAAAATGTTCACAATGATAAGATTTCAACACCATTGAGATTTCTCTTCAGAAAGTCACTTAATTCCCCTCTCATAAGGTTAACGTTTTCATTCTTTGGTGGAGACTATATTAAGGAAATGGCAAATAGGCAAAAAAAGAAGAAAGGGATAATGCTCAGATTAGCTCAAAGATTACTAGAGTGGGAACAGAGGCTGTGTCAACTCAGTAATGTTGATGCCTTGGTAATTCAGAGGTATGTAATGAGGCCAGCACTGAGGGTTGCACTGCCATCATTTATAATCTGTAGCATTTTTTGCTAGTGTCAAAAAGTTAAACTGCAGTTATCTCACAGAAGTAAATTCTATTCATAAAACTACAAAATCTCTACTCTGCAAAGGGCACTGAATAGTAAATTATTTTGTTAGACAGTCACAGATTGAAAGATACACACCCATGTCAAGATTATAATTTAAACTAGTAGGCAGAAAAACAGATCCTTCTGGTTCTCATTCTCTTTGAAAGTTCTGGGGCAAATTCTCCAGATTGTATCTCTCATTCAAATACATGTTCCTTGGGTAAATTTAGATAAGACTGAATTCAAAAGAAACAGGCACCTGCTAAAACCCTATCTTCCTTAAGGGGTCAGTCATGAACTGAGATCTATAATGGTTATTGTTGCTTTTATTGCTGTATGTTTGCAGAACCTTTTGCAATTATAACCAGTAGTTATTAAGGTCCTTAAATTCTCTGCAGTTTATGCTGATAAAGGGATCTCATTAAGGTAAAATAAAACTACGTTTACTAACTGAACATTGGGACTGGAATTTCTAAGTCTTAGCCCTTTCATTCATTTCTTTGAACTTCTGAAGACTCTGCCTCTTATCAACTCATCCCCTCTTCCTATAAGGCACCTTGAGCACATGAGTCACCTGGAGACTTCAATGCACTGCACCTACTGAGTACCTACTATGTGCCAGGCAAGCTCTGAGCACTGGAGCAGAGAAGGAAGAGACAAGATCGCTGTACTAATGGAGGTCACATCCTAGTGGGGGAAACAGGCAAAACCAGATACAGAGACATCTGCTATGAAGAAAAGTAAATATGGTAAGGGGCTTGGAAACAACCCAAGTGGGCAAAGGAAGAGAGCTATATTAGATCGAGTAGTCAAAGAAAGCCTCTCTAAGGAAGTGGCAATGGAGAAGCAACAGGACAGAAACGAGAGAGCAAACCTCCTAAATATTGAGTAGGGAAAAAGTATAGTAAAGAGAATTGAAGCCCCACTCCTGAGAGATCTGGGCTACATCTAGGAATCCATAACTGTAGCGAACCAACAAAGCAACTGCATCACGGCTCCAAGGGGCTCCTTTTGAGAAACACTGCTATTAAGGATAAATATGGAATCCTCCGTACCCAACAATACTGGCCCATCAGAGCAGCAAAGCATCAACACCAAGACGTCCCCATCAAGAGGCAAAGGCAAGGCTCCTGCCGAGCCACCCACCCACCTGCCCACACCCAAATGGGGCTCCAAAGACGGCCGCATGGGACCCCCATGGCGCCTTAACCAGCTGAGCACCACCAGCCCTATCTGCCTTTGAGCATGCATTGTGCATGACACTTGAGACTGGTTATGCCCCACGAAAAACCTTTTTCTGTCTGCTCCAAGGCAACTCAGGCCCTTCTGGTACATACACAAGAAAACCCCCACTATATTAAGTCACTCCCTACTGGACTGAAGGTTTCTAAGCTGGTACACAGTAGCAGCTCAGTAACTGATGAATTATAATAAATAACAATGACTAATGACAGTAACATCCCTATTGTCAAAATGTTTGTGAAAATGAACCAATTTTCAGCAGTGTAACATCCAGTATAGCAGCTTTCTATTATACTTTCAACACAGCAACGTATTTTAAAAAAAATTGGGTCATTTATTTCAATAAGACATTTGTTAGCACAACACAGTCATTAAATCACAAACACACAATCCTGTCACCCACATTAAACTTTAAAATCATTCCACATAATGAAGGTTACATGGACGTTGAGTGCCTGCTTATAAATAACGCACAATTAGAACACTTTCTCATCTCCAAGAATTAATCGTTTTTCCCTGAGACCTGTTTCAAGTGTGCCTCAATTCCCTGCCCGTCCCCACCACCTACACTGCTGAGTGTGAGGAGGCATCTTCTGTAGTTTCCCATCCATTCTCAAAAAATATTTGCTCAGTACCTGTAGTCAGCATTGTTCTAAGTACCGGGCATAAAACAGTGAACAAAAAAGACAAAAAGGCTTCCCTGCCCTCAGGAAGCTTCGCATCCTAAAGCAGTATCAAGGGGTGCTTTGACATAAAACCAAAAGCCTTGCCTTCCCTCCCAAGAGTCACTGATGCCTCCCTGTGATGCTGTCGTGATCATTTTTGCCAGTTGCACTGTAGGGCTCACCATGGTTTGGAGGCAGATAACTACATTTCACATTTGTGTTAAGATGGGGGACAACTGAACGTTAGAGAAAACACATTGCTGGACCATGGAACACTGCTCTGATATGGTTTAATTATTAAAGTTAGGAAGCTGCTATCTCCTTTTCTTTATGCCTGAACATCAAGTGTGGCCTCGTAATTATCAGGCGCACGTACAAAATTGCAACTTATTTCTGTACATTAAAGAATGCTCCAAAAAGCATCAACTACACAAAGATAGGTACTGTGGGGCCCTGAAGGGTTGAAGTTAGTGTGAGGGTCTTTTCTCATGGCAGAGTCCATCAGTGAGAGCTGCTTAGAGGAGCCCCCTCTTACCCACTCCCCTTTCTGGCTTTGATTGTTATGCTCACCAGGAGTGACTCAGGCTGCTGTTCTTATCATCCAGGCATCTCAAATGCTATTTTAAAGTACATGGAAGTTTAGCTTTTGTCCAAAGCCTAAAGAGCTGCTACACCAATTGAAAAAGAGAACACACAATTAACTCATTTTATCGATTTCCCAAGTTAAGTTCTTAGACTGAACAAATGGGATCAGATTTCAAAAGATTAAACTTCCATCTCACAGCCCCATTTAGGGCATTAAAAATCTATCTGCCACCTGAGCTTGGCTTTGTGGTTCTTTGCCTCTTCTCTTTAAATCATGTTAGATTATTTCCTTTGGCTTAATGTCGGCCCTGTAAGGTAATAAGCAGTTGCAATGAGGAGATGGTATTATTTTACTGATGAGTAAACTGAGATGCCAGCCAGCAAAAGTTAAAAAGAAAAGAAAAAAATTAAAAAAGGTGGTAGAGGTAGAACTTTGTTTCTTTAAACTGCCGTGCTGTTATAATACTGAGTTTATGTTATGTAAATTTTGGAGAATGCACAGAAAGTCAAGTCATGGCTGGGCAAAGAAACAAAGGATGTGCCTGTCTCAACCATGGCCCAGAGCTTCAGCTTAAACTAACTCTCAGCCTATTCAAAGCCGCACTGACTCCTCCAAGCTAACCAAGGCTCCTCTTGGGAAAGGGTGCCCACACAATCCTCAAAGAACCCAGAGGTACAGCCCGGCTTCCCAGGATAGCTGCCTTCTAATTAAGAGGTAACTTAGGCCTTGGAGAGAATCACATTTATATAATAAAGTTACATAAACTGTTCCCAATTCAGACATTTGTCTGAGCTGGGCAAGCATGTTAAGTGTCAGCTGACTCCGTCAGAGCCTCGACACACGCTGCTCCAGACGGAACTTGGCAAAGAACTAGAGGACCAGAAATAAGAGTTCATCCTTCTACTTGAGTGGCCAGCACCGCTGCATCTAGGAGCAGAACAGCAATAAAAATGGAAGGGCAGGAAGTGTGGGGAAGACCAGTAATGCTGGTGTTACCTCCACAGGTGGAGCAGGTGTGGTGGTTGCCCCCTTGATAAAGCCCATGACAGGAGGCAGTGCTGCCCAAGACCTTGTTTATCTGTAGAACCCTCCTCCAGACCAAAGTTGGGTGAAGCCACATGGCAACTTGCCTCCTGCTTTCACACCCAGGAAGCTCCCAGTTGCTCCAAAGAACATTTTGAAAATCCAGACATAGCAGAGAACAGAGACGAAGCCAGAGGACAGCACCTTTCTGATTCCACAATTTGATGGTCCACTCAGTGCTGAATCTCAGTTTGCATCTGCCCACCACTTACACCTGTCCCCACACTGTGCCTTCCTCCTCTCTGCTCCATCATACCTGTCCCAGTCATGCCAACAGCTCTCCCAGGGATCCTGATCCCCAAGGTGGGCAGCCACCTGCACACTGTGTTAGGATACTCTCCAACAGCATCCCATGAGCATGTCTTAGCTCTTCAAACACACCACAAGGTCCTCTCCCCTACTCTTCACAATACTCAGACAGCAGTGAGCCCTTGGCTAATCTTCAGAAAGTGTCTATGGAATTCAATCTTACGGCTAGACTTCACTAGCCTTACATAACAGAAGTCAACAGTTATGCAACCCTCTCCCTTCCTGCAGAACTTGCATTCCTCACTTACCAAATTATGTACGGAGCACCTACCAGGGCCAGGTCTTGTGCTAGGCTCTAGAAAGTTGGTGGCCAGACAAAAATAAATAAAACACACACACACACACACAGAGAGACACACACACACACACACACACACACACACACACACAAACTGTCCCTATCCTCAGAGCTGACAGTTTACTAGTAAAGCTGATCAAATCCCCTTATGGTGGGAGTCTAATGATTAGTATGACTTCAGAATCTTACAGAATAGTCTAGAGCCACTTAATAACCAGCTCCAACATTTAAATCCCCATTACCGGATATCTGGCCTCATATGTTAGGGAATTCTTAAGGACAGTGTATGGGGAACAGTTTCTCTGGTCAGGATTCTGTGGGTATGTGGGAGGGGGGAGGGTAGTGGTAGGTAAAGTTCTGGATTTTTTTCATTGTTTAAAAAGGTAGCTGTTAATGGCTGCTTGCCTTCTACTTTTAAACGAACAGGTTTTGAATGTTTCCAGTTATCACTAATCATAGATGCATGAGGAAAGAAACTAACAATGCAACACCATGGGACCTTTACTCCCTAGCCTGTTACCTTTCCATCCCCCCATCTCTTCAGGGTGTAAGACACTAACCAAAATGGTTTTCCTAAAAGAAGGTTTAAAATGGATCACTAAACAAAATTAGGAAAAACTGAAAGTCTAAGACAGACTCCTAAGAGCAATCATGTCATCCCTATGACCCTAATAGACCAAAGTTTTCGGCCATGGGCATGGCTACTTATCTTTCACCATCATCCCCCTACGTGTGGCGATCCATGCCCACAACAGCCTTCTCTCTGCAGTATAGGCGGAGTACTTGAGGGATGGAGCAGCCTGATCACTAGTCAACAGTCATCACTTGGCACTCTGCAGTCAGTCTGTAGAAGAACTTCACTGTTACTAAATGAACACCTGGGAAGCAGGATGCTTGTTCCCCAAATCCAAAAGAGGAAAGCTCAGGCATGAGCTGAGAAGCAGTTCTGCCAATAAAGAAGATAGGCTTAACTTTGCCTACCCAAACTGGAATCATTCCCCTCTGTAGCAAGAGACAGCTTCAGATTTAAATCCAAAAAAAGAAAAAAAAACCTGCTGCATCTCTTGAGTTCTCCAATGTGCCAAGTTCTCAATTAACCCAATGGGACACAGAAGGTGAATAAGGCCGTTCCTAACCTCAGGTGGCTTAACCCTTGCTCTGGTTTGAACAGCTGTTCTCAAAGTGTGGTCCCTGGATCAGCCGCATAGCTTCACGGGGGAACTCGTCAGAAATGTACATTCTCAGGCCCCACCCAGACCCACTAAATCAGCAGTCTAGGGTATTCAGGAGTCTTTAACAAACCTTCTGGGCAATTCTGATACCCACTAAAGTCTGAGAACCACTGAGTTACCAAAAAAAAAAAAAACCAAAAAACAAAAACCACACACAACATCAACAATGAAGAATCAGCATCTGTGATGTCATTTAGCTATGAAGGTATTTCCTACATAAGACTCACATACCCAACTTTTTTGACAATGACACACTGTCACAGCACATAAGTACTATTAAGTACGTAGCAGCAATTGACATTTTGTTATGAGATAAACATTAACCCTATCTTCTTTGATAATAAGCAATCTCTGAATATTCATCTATATTTGGTAGCTCATTTCAAAAATGCCCTTTTTTGGTCAAGATACGATTATGTTCTTTGGTCCCAATTTGGGGTGATTAAAAAAAGCAACTTAGGTGAATATGAATATGACCAAGCCCCTATAAAAAAGGGCAGCAGTAAAATTTCTACAAATAAGTCTAGAGAGGAAACTTCAAATTCTCATTTAAAAAAAAAAATAGCATGCTCATGAATTCCAAACTCTATGGGTTTATTTCTTCAAGGCTCTTCCAGGAAGACCCAACATTCCACACCTTTGTAAAGCCTGTCTAAGGCCTGGAACAGCACTTCCAGCCCCATGAACAGATGAGGGACAGGCCTCCATGATCTCTAAGCACAGCAGAAGACATTAGTTATGGAATTTTCAAAGTTTAGATTATATCTTTCTATATACCATATCATCGCCCCCTTTCTCCCTGGGAGTCTTTCTTCCTCTCTAGAGGAAAAACTTGTAACTTACAAAATGGGAGAATTAGAATACCTACTTGTTCCTTAAATGCTCTAAAAGCCGAGAAAAAAAAAAGTGCATTAAGAAAACAGGGCCATTATTCTCTATCCATAGGTACCAGCAATTCCCAGCACAGCAGGAGAGAAAGAAAAGCTACAGGCAGACCCAAACAGCTTCCCAGCTTCGGCTCACAAATGGGAGTGATTTTGTTGCTAAAAACATCCCTCCTCTCTCAGACCCCTCAGGCCTGAGCCCATAGAAGAGGTCTCTGGCTTATATAATACCACCACCACATAGTACGCCATGCTTGGGTCCAGGGGCTCACGATCTGGCTTTACACAGTAAGCACTTACTGTATGAAAGGAGCAAAGTCAGTGCTGGGCAGTCCCATCTCCTCCTGAAACTGTGCTCCTGCACTGCCAGATTTCACATGGAAGTGAAAGGATAATAAATTCAAGTGGATGACAGCCATACATTACCACCGGCCTGATGAAAATGGCCTTTTTATTAGTGACTCAGCCTCCTTCACTCAATGCAATCAAGCAAATGTTTGCCAAATGATTGCAACTCAGTAGGATACAACTGCCCATCCACCCGCCCCCAACTAAACCCTGAGACCAGCTAGCATGACTGTCTCAGTTTGCCCAGAACTTCCCTGGCTCAGCAACAAAAGGCTGGCAAACTAGGATGGTTGGTCACCATAGGACCAGCAGACCTATGGCTGCCGCTGCAGAAAAACAAATCTTAGATAGGACCGCATGTGTCCAACCTGAAGCCCAATGAGAGTTGCAGAAAGAGGTTGTCACAGCCTTTAGTAACTTAAAGTCAGTGTCTTTCTGGTGAAGAGCACTCAATTAAGAGCTAGAAGCCTAGGTTAGTAGTTCATATGCATGCCCAAATTTGACAGTCTCCTGAAGGGCTTAACTACAGCACAGAGTGCTGATCCCCAGGTCTGGTGTGGGACTCAATTTGCATTTCTTTTTTTATTATTATTATACTTTAAGTTTTAGGGTACATGTGCACAACGTGCAGGTTTGTTACATATGTATACATGTGCCATGTTGGCATTTCTTTTTTTTTTTTTTTTGAGACGGAGTCTCGCTTTGTCGCCCAGGCTGGAGTGCAGTGGCGCGATCTCGGCTCACTGCAAGCTCCGCCTCCAGGGTTCACGCCATTCTCCTGCCTCAGCCTCCTGAGTAGCTGGGACTACAGGCGCCCGCCACTATGCCTGGCTAATTTTTTGTATTTTTAGTAGAGATGGGGTTTCGCCGCGTTAGCCAGGACATGTTGGCATTTCTAACAAGCTCCCAGGTGCTACTGTTTGTTGCTAGTCACAGACCACACTAAGAGTAGTACCAGCTTAGACCACGGCTCACCTATAACCAACTGAGAAAACCTGAGTCAACTATCAACCTTCCTGGGAAGCCATTTAACCTCTCTGGTCTTGTCTCTACCTATAAGATGTAAATGATCAAGAGCTCTTCAAATTCTGGACTTCTAGAATAGTGTTTCTCTAATTTTAGCATGTATAAGAATCACCCAGAAAGAGATACCTGGATTCTGTGGAAACAGATTCCTGGATTCCTCCCCACTTACTGATTCTGCAGATCTGAGGTGGGGCCCAGGAATCTGGATTATAACCAGCTCCGGGTGATGCTGCAGAGGGGCCCACATGGAGCTGCACTGTTCTATCCCAGACGAGGGGCTCCTCCAACAGCATTTATATTGATTTTAAACATGAAGCTGAGTAGCAATTACCCTACAGGTTTCACATCCTTCAGCTTCCTATTCTTGTAATCCTCAACAAATTCTGTTTTCTCTCCTCACTCATTACACCAACAGCTGCATTCCATCTCCCTCAACTTTTTGTCTGTGGATTCAGAGATTGCTGTCACTGCAAACAGAGTAATCTCGTGGGCTGTAGAAGTTTTCTGTTCAATGATCTATCCAGTTCGCATGACAGGGTCAGAGAGAGACAACTGGAAAGGATAATTTCCTCATCCTGAAGATGAGAAAGAGGGAGATTCCGGAGCTTTCCCGAAGTCCCAGGGTCAGTGAGCGGCAGGAATTAGTTCATGATCTCCAGCTCAATTATTCACATGTCTCCTTCTCCTAAGGGAGGGATGTATTAAAGGGAAAACCTCATCAATATAAATCAGCCCGAGTTGTTCATCGCGCCACTTATCACTGAACTACACTCCAGCTCTTTTTCAAGTACTTGTCCCAGAGCTTCAAAGAAAATTTTTAAAGAAAATAAGCTAGAGAAGGTCTTGCTGAAAAAGGAAAAAAAATTAGTTTGCTGTGATACCTTCTGAGAAGCACAAATATTTTAAATGAACTGGTGAACTAGACCCTTCCTCAACAGTGGGCTAGAACCAAGAGAGAGGGGCAGCCCTCTCATAGCTCCAAAGTTGAATATTGTGCTCCCTGGGAACATATTTAAAAAAAGGTCTAGCTTCTAGCACATACGGCACTAAAAAAGGCATTAAACAGAAACACCACTGTGTTCTCCACAGAAAGTGGTGTGTGCATTTACAAAACTTAAGTATTTAAGCAATCCACTTCAGCATTTATGATATAGACAGAAGGAACAAAGACTTATCGAGCAGTGCTTTCAATTTTAATGCCTTTTGGGGGCCAGAAGTATAATTGGTCAGCTTCACAACCTTCACAGTGTTCTTCTCCTCCAGGAAGCACCGAGTGTAAATGTGGAAGACTCAAGTGAGGTCTGAAGACAATGTCTGCTCGAGATTGGCTTCCCAGAGCCATAGGTTTCTAGCATCTGTCTTCTGAACCCCTTGCCTGACTCACTAAAGGTGAAACATGGAAGGAGATGCAGGCAGCAGGAGGGTGACCCCTCAATTCTCAGGGCAGTGTTGGTCTGCGTTGCTGGGACCCAGAGAATCCCATGTGAGGTCTCAACGGGCCATGTCCTAAGGAAGCACACCTACGAAGTGGAACTGTCAGAGCCACTAGGAGCATTTGTCTACCGTCCTCAGCCCTCTTCCCCCAGGGTGGTATGCAGAATGCCCTGGACAGGAGCCAGCCAGCAATCCAGGGTCCCAGCCTGGCCCTTCTGAGTAAGCTGCTCGACCTCAAGCAGGTCATAGCTGAGCCTCAGCTTCTTTGTATGTGATATGGAGACAATAATCCCTGCTTAGTCTAGGGGTGGAGAACACCTTGTGCCAGGGTAAAAGGCTACCTCTGGTTTTAGGGGAGTCCCCATTCTTAATGTACACCCCCAGGCTGGCCCACCTTCACAAGAGCAGCTGATGAGCACTGCTACTTCCTGGTCAGCTGGTAGATGGTGAAAGCTGACCTGCACGCCATTTAAAAGGCTTCCAATGTTTCAGGAGCTTCTAAGGCCAAACTCCTCAGCTAGAGAATGAAGGACTCTTCTATCCACCTCCAGCCTGCCCTCCAGCCCGGGAGTCAGCAAGACCAGCAACTTACGGCCAGTGCAGATGCACCTGCTCTCCTCTGGGCATTTTCAAACCCCACTCCCATATCTGAGATGCTTTCCCTTCTCCTCTGTTTCTCAGTCCTCGAGGCCTAGTGTGGGTTCCTCCTCTGTGAATCCTTTCTGTCCTGAGAAGTCTCTTTCCTTCCCTCTGTGAAACTTTCCCTGAACTCCTGCAGTAGCACCATCAGCCCCCAGCGTGCCCACGTGGTCTTCATTCCAAAGCTTGCGTTATCTGTCCCTTCTAGATTATAAGCACCTCAAGGCCTCACTTATTTCTTCACTCCAGTGTCCAAAGTGGTCTAATAAACATTGCTAGAATACATACACTGGTAGCTTTATATAGTGAGACAATTATAGTATCAATGACCTTCTTAAGTAAAATTCCAAGTCTTGTGTATGTCTTTCTAAACAAACTTAGCATGTGAAAATTGGATTTACCTAAAAGATTTATCAAAGGGCTCTGTGTAGCAGCATTCACCAGAGGACTCCTTTAAATATCAAGTGCCCCTGCATTAAAACAGGATTCAGTTTGATATTTTTTCAGGAACTCTCAATTTACTGAGAATTAACTATCACCAATGGAAGGCATTCTTCAGAACTCACTATGATCAGGGCCTGCCCTGTGTGCCTCCTCACTTCATCATTCAATGTAAATACAAAGCACCCACTTAAATGGTCACAGGGACAAGAAAAAGACCCTATAGCCCCACAAACCCAAACAGGCACTGTCTTCACTAATGCCCAACCACTGCAGCTGCCACAGCCTCTAGCCCAGGGATACCTCCAGCAATGTAGGTCCTGACTCATGGATCTACTAGCAGACAACCAAAGACTGCCAGGACCCCATGCAACTACCAATAACAGCCCTTTCTCACTGCAATCTGTAAAGTCTTTGCTTTTGACTAAAATATTTGAAGTGGACATCACCCTTTGTTTCCTTTTTCCTACTTCCAAGATTCACACTGGCTATGGAAAGTTCATGAGGCTTGCAGTCAAATAGGCAGGACTGAACCGACCCCCAAAGCTGCTGCTTTGCAGCCATGCAACCTCAAGTGCATAATTTAGTCTCAGTCTGTTTCCTCGTGGAAAAAGCAGGGTGCTGTGAGAACTAAACATAAAGTACAGAAAGTACCAGAACACTGGGCACAGATGAGGCATTTGCTCAATGACAATTTTCGCCACCAAAACACCCTTCTCCTAATCACACAAATTCATTTTAAAAGCCACTAAGTGGTAGGATATCTGCCCTAAGTAGAAATGTGGTTCTTCTTTGGTGGCGCTTAATTTAAAAACAGAACCCTGGCCAGGCGTGGTGGCTCATGCCTGTAATCCCAGCACTTTCGCAGGCCGAGGCAGGCAGATCACTTGAGGTCAGGAGTTTGAGATCAGCCTGGCCAACATGGTGAAACCCTGTCTCAACTAAAAAAAAAAAAAAAAAAAAAATCAGCCAGGTGTGGTGGCAGGTGCCTATGATCCCAGCTACTTGGGAGACTGAGGCAGGAGAATCCCTTAAACCTGGGAAGCAGTTTGTGCCACTGCACTCCAGCCTGGGGGAGAGGGAGAGAGGAAGAGAGGGGGAGAGAGAGAGAAAGAGAGGGAGGGAGGGAAGGGGGGGGGAGAGAGAGAGAGAGAGAGAGAGAGAGAGAGAGAGAGAGAGAGAGAGAGAGACTGACTGCATCTCAAAAATAATAAATAAAAATTAAAAAATAACAGACCCTGAAATGCAAATCAAAACCACAATAAGACACCATTTTACATCCACTAGGATGGCCTCAATAAAAAATAAAATAGAAAATAAGGTGTCAACAAAGATGTAGAGAAATTGGAACCCTCAGACATCGACTGCTGATGTGAATGTAAAATGCTGCAGCTGCTGTGGAAAACAGCTTGATGTCACCTGAGAAAGCTGAACACAGAATTACCATGTGATCTAGCAATTCCACTGCATGCTATATACCCAAAATAACTGAAAATAGGTACTGAAATACTTTTCTATGAAAGTGAATGGCAGCATTATTCACAACAGGTAAAAGGTGGAAACAACCCAAGTGTCTATCAGCTGCACAATGGAGAAAATGCGGTACATCCCTACAACGGACTATGTTCTCATACAGCCTACTATGCAGGTGAACCTCAAAAATATGCTAAGTCAAAGAAGTCAGGCACAAAAAGTCACATATTATATGATTCCATTTAATATGAAATATCCAGAATACACAAATCCATAGACAGAAAGCAGATTAGTGGCTACCAGGGGCCAACAGGAGGGAGAAATGGGTACAGGTCTCCTTTGTGGGTTATGAAAATATTTTGGAACTAGAGAGAGGGAGTGTTTGCACAACATTGTGGATGAACTGAATACTACTGAACTGTACACTTTAAATGGGTAATTGTATATTATGTGAATTTCACTTCAATTTTTAAAAATTGGCCAGGTGAGGTGGCTCACACCTGTAACCCCAGCGATGGAGGATAAGGTGGGAAGATTGCTTGAAATCAGGAATTCGAGACCAGCCTGGGCAACATAGCAAAAACCCATCTCTGCAAAAAATATAAATAAAAATAAAAAAAACTAGCCAGGCATGGTGGTGCACCGTACAGTCCCAGCTCCTTGGGAGGTCAAGGCTGCAGTAAGCCATGATCGTACCACTGCACTCCAGGCCTGGGTGACAGGGCAAGACCCTGTCTCAAAAAAAGTTAAGGCTCTATAAGATGATAAAAGGTTTTCCACTTTTCAAAGAAAGATATAGAGGTGTCACTCTTTTGCAGTCATTCCTCAAATACCTACTGGAAGCCTGCTACACGTAAAACACCAGACAATGCTGGTACTTGCCCTCATATATCTTACAGCCTAGTGGATCATTTGTAGCATCAAATACTTTATGTATATATACGATACACACACAGATACATGCCGTCCACAGAAGGCATCCTTTTCTCCCAGTCAAAGCTCAGTGAGTCTTTTGAGTGACTGCAGATATGCCCATAATTATGTGTCTATAAATAAGACCATTTCCACCATGGGCACATTATTTGTGCTTTTGCGCTTAGTAAATCTGATTAAATTCTCATCTAAAAATTCAACAAAGTCACACTGCACCCTATGATTAACACACAATGTCCTTATAACCTATGTGCAAATACCAGATACATCCTCCGATAAGATGGCCTCACTTAAATTGGGTCTTGACAGTGCAGAGAGGTTCTGGTAACTGAACATTTTATTCTCGAAGCTTTATAGACTTCGTTATAAAACTGTGAGATTCTTTCAGAGTTTTCCAATACACAGTGCAAAACATTTTCCTCAACATGTGGCTTATTTGGTTGAATAGACAATCATTCCCAAAGGGGAGTTGGTACACCTTTTCCCATGCACATGGTCCCATCACTCTCCTTCAACTCATGGGGTAGCGGCATTCCTATTATGGGAGTCATCGTTCTGCTCTTCTATTAAATGGATTAGGGAAAGTGTGATTGTCTACTTCAAGTTGTTTTCAAGTGAATGTTAAAAAGAAAAAAAAGAAAACAACAACAACAAAAAACTTTTGAAGAATAATACCCTGTAACTAGAAAATGCTTTGGAACCAGAAGGAAAGACATGTATAGCCTGCATAGAATCCCTGTGCAAATCCCTCATCTGGAATATGCATAAACCTGCTGTGAGCAAAGTGAAATCTTTCCCCCCTGGTGCCCTTCCTATCAGTAACTCCACATCACTGCTTGCAATTGACACATCTCTCCCCCCGCCCCACCCCGCTTGATCATTTTGAAAAGTATATGTTATTTTTAAGCGTCAACTTATTTCAGGAATGTGTACAGTCTTTCTTAATAAACTGCAGATAACAACATAAGAATTGGGAAGCCCCACTTTAATTTCCCCAGACTGGGAGAGGACAGAGGCTGCAAGGATCAATAAAGAGACTACAGTATGGAAACCAGACTCAAATCAAGGACTGGATATAAGCAGCTGGAGCAGAAGTCTTCAGAAACCAAGCCCACCCTGACTCCTAGCCCTACTTTTGGGGAGCCTGCCACAGATGGTACCCCTGCTGACTGCAAGGCCTGGCACAAGCCCCAGGGTCTCCAAGCCATTTGAATGGTATTGAACAGAGCGCAAACCTACCTTTACAGCTTCTCTTTCTCAAGGGCACTATGCTGCACACCTTTCTAAATATCAAACTGAACAATGAATGTTAAGAGATGCATCAATGGATGAAGCTGGAAACCATCATTCCGAGCAAACTGTCGCAAGGAAAGAAAACCAAACACCGCATGTTCTCACTCATGGTGGGAATTGAACAATGAGAACACTTGGACACAGGGTGGGGAACATCACACACCGGACCCTGTTGTGGGGTGGGGGGAGGGGGAAGGGATAGCATTAGGAGATATACCTAATGTAAATGACGAGTTAATGGGTGCAGCACACCAACATGGCACATTTATACATATGTAACAAACCTGCACGTTGTGTACATGTAACCTACAACTTAAAGTATAATAGTAATAATAATAAAAAGAAAGAAAAGTCTTATTTAGCAAACACTCATATATAGTGCTTGCTATGTGTCAGGAACAGTTCAAATACTAGGTTATTCAATCTTCAAAATGACCCTATGATGATTCAGCAATTCTACTTCTAGGAATGTAACTGAGAGAATCAACAGCAGGAATTCAAACAGATAGCTGTATACCAAGTTCACAGACACATTCATCACAATAGACAAAAGGTAGACACAACCCAAATATTCACAGATCAGTGGATCAACAAGCAGACTATCCATACAATTCATTATTATTAGCCTTAAAAGGGAAGGAAATTCTAACACATACTATCACATGGATGAACCTTCAGGATGCTATGCTAAGAGAAATAAGCCAGAAAAGGACAAGACTGTATGACTCCACTTACATGAGGGACCTAGAAGAGGCAAATCCATAGAGACAGAAAGTAGACTGGTGGGTGCCAGGGGCTGCGAGGAAGGGGTTACTGTTTAATGGGTGCAGAGATTCTGTTTAGGATAATGAAAAAGTTCTTGGATGGTGGTCGTGATTGCACACAATGTGAACGTACTTAATGCCACTGAACTGTATACTGAAAAATGGTGAAAATATGGTTAAAATGGTAAATTGTTATGTGTATTTTACCACAACTAAAAAATGTTTAAAAGTTAAAAAACAGTAAATTTTACTTATATTTTACCATAATAAAAACAAACAACCCTGAAACAGGGAAACAGGTCCTTTACTATAATGCTTATTTTCCAGATGTGGGCACCCCTGGCCAGACCAAACACCACACTGGACACTAGAGACACAGTAGTGAACAAAACAGCCTCTAGCCCTGCCCTGATAGAACCTGCATTCCACTGGGGAGACACATCAACCATCTTTTAATTCAATTAAGGCAGAGACCACAAAGTGAAGAATGGAGCTAAGAGGGCAAATCACAGGGGACCACAAAGTGGGGGCTGTCAGGGCAAAGTTGCCAGGAAGCTACAGAATCCCGAGTTATCTGAAATGTCTACAGCAAACCCCACATGTCACTCTGGTGAGCAAAGGCCTTGACAAGTCAAGAGCTTGCACACATTCCTGCTCTCAATTCATACGTGGTCCAAGCTCTAGCAAACTCCCTAGTGAACAGCAGTCATGCGTGAATCATCTCCAGGACCTGATCAAATGGGTCTCAGAACAGCAGCACAGCTCTCCAAGCCTCCAATGCATTTTCACACCATCTTCTAGCACACTATGGCAGTGAAGAGCATGCATGGTGAAGCCAGACTTCCTGGGCTTGAATCCCAGCCCTGCTGCTCTCTGGCTCTGTAACCTTGGGCAAGTTACTAGATCTCTGAATCTCAGCATCTCATTGTAAAATAGGGTTATTAAATGAGCTGACATACAGGAAGTTTTTACAATTCATTGGTTAGTGTCACAGAAAAAAGCAAGTTTTTAAAAAGTATTTTTTAGAACAATCCTTGCCACATAGAGAGTTAGCTGTTATTCTCATAATCATTATTACCTTATTCCAACCTCATAAGACCCAAGAGGCAGGTGGGGCAAGATCAAACTGCCCCCAGTTAACATAGGCAATTGAGGCAAAGGAAGAGCAAGTTGCTTGAGTTTACATTGCTAGTTAGAGCCCCCTACTCTTCCCACCACACTGTGGCACTTACGATAATTCAAAAGCATTTGATGAAAATTTCTAGCATCTCAACCATATTTGGGCACCTATTATATACCAGATACTGGCCATCCTTTCTTCTAGTGCCTGTAGGAACCAAGAACCCAGGTTCTCCAAGCCCATCATCTTGGTCTGTAATCCCAGCAGCCAAGTTTTGAACGCTTCACTTTATCTACTGGAAAACTGGGCTAAGAGAACAAGCTTTTACTGAGCACCTACAACAGATGCAGTGCTCTACATTACAGGGAAGACAAGAGTGGTCAAACTCATGGTATCTGCCACCCTTCACACCTGGTAGAGGAGGTAAGGAGTCCTCAGCTGAAAGAGAACAATGGAGGGGCAGGTACCACTAATTGCTGAGCCCTGGTGGAGCGCATAAAAGGTAGAGGAATCCAGCTAAGCCAGTCAAGTGTAAGTTGATGTAATCAGGGAAAACCTCACGGAAGAGGTGGGATTTAGGTGGGGCTTTAAAGATTGCTTACTGGGATGATCAATTTTATGTGTCAACTTATGTGGCCACTGGGTGCCCACACATTTGGCCAAGCACTATTCTGGGTGTGTCCATGAAGCTGTTTCTAGATGAGGTTAACATCTGAGTCAGTCGACTGAGTAAAGCAGGTTGCCCTCCCCACTGCGGGTGGGCCTCATGCAATCAGTTGAAAACCCAATTAGAACAAAAAGTCTGGGTAAAAGGGAACCCTGCCTGTTTGAGCTGGGACACTGCTATTTTTCCCACCTTCAGACTCAAACTGAGACATGAGCTCTTTCCAGGTCTCAAGCCTGCTGGCTTTTGGAACTTACACCACTGACTCTGCTGGTTCTCAGGCCTTTGGACTCAGCCTGGAACTACACCATCAGCTCTCCTGGGTTTCCAGCTTGCTGAATGCAGATCTTAGGACCTGTTGGCCTCTGTAATTGTGTGAGTAATTCCATAATATATAAATATGTGTATTTCCTATAGTTATCTTTCTCTAGAGAATCCTAATACACTACTATTGGTTTGGCAGAGAGTAAAAGGGGAGGAAAGCTTCCAGAAGTCTAAGAAATTGAATGAAAAGCGAAGATGTGAAAAAATGAGAGAATAGGAAGGCCATGAGAAAATGGCTTTGAAGGGGGAGAGAGAACAAACAGGAATGAGGACTGTGAGGTGCAACAGCTGATCTGAGAACAGCTGATGGATTCTGAACATGACCCTCCACACAGGTAGATGGGGTGCCTGTGATCTTGAGAATCACACAAAAGCAGAGTTTAGGAGAAGTGATCCCACATGGATAAGCGTAGAAAAGCCTGGAGCCCAGGAGGCCAGCAGCATATACCTGTCCAGGTAGGAGAAGACATGTGGGGTGCGATAGCAGCGCCTAGCTCAGTGACAGGAAGTCTCTCGTGCCTTGAGAACAGAGGACTCTCACACTCCCTTGGATTTATCAACAGCTCGGAGAGCAGTTCTGCACCCTGCCCAGGTACAAAGGCCAAAGAGCCCAGGGAGAAGGCCACGTGCCAGCACCTAAGAATCCGAGATCCTTTACACATCCCCAGTCTGTCACTCAAGCCCTCCGGGTCTCAGTTTCCCTCCCTGTGACATGCGTACCAGAAGGAATGTGAGGATAAAATGTGAAAGAACATTGGAGGAGGAAGTGGCCCAGTGAGAAGGGGGAAACCACCTTCCACCAGAAACTGCTTTGGTGTGAAGCCTCAGAATACCCAATCAGCGGCTGCCGGCTGGAAAAGCAGGCTTTTTATTGACAAACCCGCAGAGGATCACCTTCACAAAACACACCCAGGGCCTAATTAAAATCACAGAAGAACCACCTGCCAAATCTCACGGTAAGTCACTGCTTAATGCAGGGCTGTCAGAGCCGGCTCAGGAGAATGAGGTGGCAGGGAATGCTCAGTGATGTGAAAGGAGCCCAGGCCAGGCCCCACGGTGGTGGGAGCATGGCCTGATGGACGGAGAGGGATGGAGGGCTGGGCCCAAGCAGGACTGTGGAGAGGGCAGGGACTTCCCAGTACAGCAATTCCTGGAGCTGGAGCTAGAGCTTATCTCACATTTACAATCCCATAGACTCCAGCAAATGCTGTCCACACAGCACACTTACCACAAACCCAGGGCATCCCTTTCTCCTCAAGGGAACTTCAACAGACAAGCTTCTGCCCTATATTAATTGTCATGCCACCAATGTAACTAAAACACCATATATATTCCATGAAAGGAAACAGGAAATGAACTCCGATAAGGCAGAAAACTCAAATCACTGGAGCTCTTGTCCAGCATTCTGATTTAAGGAATGCAGGCAAATGATCCACGAGCTAATACCAGAGATGTGATCATAACAGCTGTACTTACAGACACCTCACCATACGCCAGCCCATTTCCTAGAGCCTTTCTGTAGTAACTTCTTTAATTCCCACAGCCCTATGAAACATCATCTCCATTTTGCAGATGAGGAAACTAAATGTGAAGAAGTGGAATAACTTGCCCGAGGTCCCTAGGGAGTAGCAGAGCTGGAATCTGAGTCCAGGCAAGAATCTAGATCCCAAAACCTGAGCCCTTTTCAAGAGTGCCAAAGTTCAAAAATCCTCTATACCTTGCATCTCTAAACCAAATCATGGGACTAGTACAGGAGCCTCCGCCAACAAGAAAAGTCAGAAGAGGGGCTTTGTTTTGTCTCCTGATTTTTCTCAATTTTCTAAAATGAACATGAAGTGCTTCTTTAGACAGAAAAATGAAAACTAAACCAACTTTTTTTCCCAATGACCACCGCCCCACCTCCTGCAGTCTTCCTTCAAACCCTTCCCAGGAGCAGTGCAGCTCAGAGCTCTCTACCCTACCTGAGCACTCAGCATGTTCAGCACAGCCTGCACTGAATTAGCTCCTCAAAAACAGAAACATTGATGCAACCACAGCAAGGCTGAGTGCCAGGCAGGCCACCAGGAGACTGGGCTGGAATCAGCTGTCAGCTACCTAGTGATCCAATTAAGAAATGTTGGTTAATACTGGGGGTACAATTAAAAATACATCAGCCATATTTTTTTAAGCCTCTTGTGATTTTTTCAAGAACTTCCTTGAAATAAAAAGCTTTGCTCATTATCGATTAGCCAGCAGAAGGCATCAGGACTTATAATTAAGTTTTCTTGGATAAGGAAAAACTCCCAGTTGCCCTGTAGAATTTGACGAATGGCAATCAGATGGCTTATGCCTGAGCACTTCCTTAGGGCCTCCAGAAGGAAACCTGTACAACCTTGGTAGCTTCTGGAGGTTACCCTGAGATGTACACACATGCGGTTCATTTCTGTGGCTCTAGGAAGGTCTTCCTGGGCATTGGCAAAGGCTCCTTCAAAAGGAGACAAGAAGAATGAGAACGAGCAATATCCACCCTACCTGAACTGGTGGGTACTGATGCAGAAATCAGGAAATTAAAAGCACCCTCCGTGGATTTATTGTTTAATCATGAACACCAGGCCTGAATTCTAAGAACACCGGTGAAATACAAGCCAGTTAGAACGGTTCAGATGAACCAACAATATCGTCTACACAGGATGCCACAAACTCTTCCCTGGCCATTTTTCATCTGCTCAAATTTGCAAAAGACTCGTTTTACAAAACGACTGTGATGTGCACTGCTAACAGGAAATGGGTAAGGAATCCCGAATAAGCTCATCTCTCAGGAAAAGGTAGTTTCCCTTTTGGCTTTATCACCCTAACCAAGCTCCTCTCCTTCCAGGGGACTTCAGGAGTCATTTATCCCAAGCTGAGTAGTTACATGGCAGAAAAACCTCTAGCCCCATGCCTATCATGTTCCAGCTATGGAATGTGCAGCAAGCCTCTTCCTCCAATCTTCAATTCTTACAACTGATGAACAGGAATCAAGTTCTGCTTAGGTCACAGGGCTTTCTGTGAGAATCAAATGAGATGACATCTAGCACGGCACTTTAAAAGCATTAAAGCCCTATACTAGCTAATATTAGTCATTAATTGCATGGAATCATAGAATAGAATGCATAGAAACTTAGTCCTGAAAGGGAGTCCTAATTTGAAAACTATTTGATAAAACTCACACTGCAGGCTCTAACCCACCAACTCACTGGCCTTTTGTTGCCAGACTTTGGCTACCAGGAAGAAACATCCCACTCCATCCAAGCACATTTGTACCATGAGTCTTTGAGCACACCAATAGGACTATGAAACAGGCAGCCAAATCCCTATCAAAAATGGCCTCATCAAATCACATCCAAAGTTAGAGTCCAAGGAAAAATAATAGGTACTGAGCCCACTCCCTCACTCCTGCCACTTCCTACAGACACTTTCAATCAAGCCACCTTTCTGACATTGGCCACAAGCATTTCAATATTGGCATGGCACTTGGCCCAGTGCTTTGTACTCCCTGGAGCTAAATTATCATCATAAGTATTATTATTCTTTGATAGCAAGGTAGGCTGAATGGTGCATTAAAAGCATTTGTAGCTCAAAAACCTATGGGGGCAACAGGCAGTTTGAAAGCATTTAGCTGGATACAGTACTGAGATCAGTGAAAAAGCTCATTTGTCACCATGACAGGAGGTGATAATGTGACATTTCACAAGTTTCAAAACAGCAGGGGAAACCACCTCCCCTCTATTATTTGTAGCAATGCTGGACTCCCAAACACACACTCTGCATGAACTATGAATCACTCTAATTATTCAGCAGGCTGAATACCAAACCAATCACCATCCACAATCAGATCTGGACCTGAACTTTTTGTGAAGAGAGAACATTTATCATTTCTGTACCTGCAGTTTTCCCCCATTGGCACTATTTTTTCCCAAACAATAATTTGCAGAATTCTTTATTGAAAGGGGCTCCTGCTTCCACAGTGGGCTTAGCAAAATATACCACATTTCCTGTTTTCTTCCCTCTTCCCAAGTGTGCCAATACTTCCTCCCCACTTTAAGAATAAAATCAAGAACAAAACACAAGCATTATCCCCCAAACCCTCACTTGCTCTCCGCTTTGAAACAGTGGCCACGGCAGTCCTTTTAGGATCCTCTGGAAATTTAAGAACATTTGGGCATGGTTGGAGGAGCAGAGCATAATGGTTACACGTCAAGTGCTCAAATCTTGGTGCAGCTACTTCTTAGCTGTGTGACCTTATCCAAGTTACTAAACCTCTCTGGGTTTCAGTTTAATTATGTAAAGTTGAGGTAGTAGAGACTTGTGTCCTTCTGTCGTTGTAAAGATTGAATATGAGATTAATATATATTCCAGGTACTGTGATATGACATCACAATGGTTCTGTGTAAATTAATAATGCTGATATATAACATTAACTCTTTCTAGGCCGACAAGTCCAGTCAACAGCAGTCTGCCATAGGCTGGGGAAGAAAATGAACATTAATACTTATTTCACTTGTGCTCAGTAAAATGCTTATCTCCACCATGCTCCCCTCTTCTCTGCCATCTCTCTTCCTGGGAATAGGGTTGCCTGCTCAGAATTAGCCCAGGAATAGATTATGGTGGTTGCCACTAAGCAAGTGGATAGAGAAAATTCGCATGGGTTGAACCTCCAATGTTTAAACATAGTTAAGTGGGAGCATGAGACAAAAACTTCCAAGTACCTTGGCTGAAGCGTGAAAGGCAGGTAAGTTCTATAAGGAAATACCTTTTAATCCCTTAAATCATTTCACACTGCTTTCCTCCACCTCCTTCTCACAGCTCCCTGGTTACATATACATCCATAGCTTCAACCACTGGGATGTATTTAAAAGCCTTCTTAATTTAAATCAGTGGGAGGGGGAAATTTTTTTCTACTAATTTAGAGAGACCCAAGTTCATAGTTTTTTGCTTTTTGTTTTAAATAAGCCTGGAAGATGATTCTCCAAGACCAGTCTATGCTGCTGAGGGCAGAATTAATCCAGAATATGACTGTTTCCTTCCTGGAAAAGCAAAAATATCAATGAGGAGGAGTGAGTCTCAAGTTCCTTATCCATGGCCCCCTTCAAAGTACTTCAACACAGACTACATATCCCAGGCAAAAAGAGATTCAAGCCATACAGAAACACTATTTTTGTTCTCTGTCTTCTCTAGTGCTCTCCTCAAATTGGAAAAGGTAAAAATAAGCACAAACAAAATAACCACAAAGAAGATACTACATCCCAAGATCAGAGAGGAGTTCATGAGAGTGCTTGCTGCCTTAAACGAGGCTAATGTTTGGGCCTTAATGCTATTCCAAAGTATTAAAAGAACCTTCAATAGAAAGAGTGAAAGCTCATATGGTGCAGACGTCAGAAACATGACCCAGAAGGAAAAGGTAGGTGCAGACACAACTGCTGAAGCTGCCCAGTGAAGGAAGTTGACTCAAGAACCAAGAGAAGTCATGTGATGAGCCCAGAAATCCCTCCATCCCTCCGTCCGTCCGTCTGTCTGTCTGTCCCCCCACTGCAACCCCATGACTGTCCTGGTATATTACACTCCAGCTTATTCCTCACTTTGCAAGGTGGGGCTTATACAGCAGTGGCTGTCAGACTCTGATCTTTAACAGAATCACCTGGGGCACTTGGTCAAAACACAAAGGCCCAGGCCCCTCCCACCTCCAGGAGCCTGGGACTCCGCATTCTTCATCAGCTCTCCAGGTGATTCTAGATGCAAAGTTTGAGAACCATATGGCCACAAAAAAAAGGAGGGAGGTGGGGGGAGTTATTTAAACACAAAAGGGAGCAATCTTTGAGATATCTTTAAGAGAAAGACACAAGTGCAGAACAGTGTGTTTAGCATGCTGCCTTATGTATAAGAAAAGATGGGGCAATGAAAATAAAGGTTTTTTAAAGATGGGAGTGAGACAGATACAAGATATATAGATATAGAGTATCTCTAAAAAGATCCACAAGAAACCTGTTACACTGGTTGCTCCCGGAAAAAGGAACTGCCTGACTGGGGACAAAGGCAGAAGGAAAACATCACCATATTGCTTTTCAGCTCTTTGAATTTAACTACACAGATACATTATCAAATAAATTTGTTGTTCAAACTTCAAAGGGATAGACAGAGGCACATAAAAACAAGTAAAAATAGTGATTAAGGGATAAAAATAGCCGCGTGGCAGGGCTCGGTGGCTCACGCCTGTAATCCCAGCACTATGGGAGACCAAGGTGGGTGGATCACAAGGTCATGAGATCGAGACCATCCTAGCCAACACGGTGAAACCCCATCTCTACTAAAAGTGCAAAAACTTAGCCAGGTGTGGTGGCAGGTACCTGTAATCCCAGCTACTCGGGAGGCTGAGGCAGGAGAATCACTTGAACCCAGGAGGCGGAGGTTGCAGTGAGCCGAGATCGCGCCATTGCACTCCAGCCTGGGCGATAGAGTGAGACTCCATCTCAATAAATAAATAAATAAATAAATAAATAAATAAATAAATAAATAAATAATAGCAGCCTCAAGGGTTAGTATTCCAGAGCTCTCAGTGATTTCTTGCATGTAAGAACCCTTCTCTTCTGCCTGGGCTGCACCGAGGCTCCAGAAGTCAAAGAGAGACACTCCATCCACCTGCTGAGGGAAACGGTGCCCTGGGGATTGCTCACGAGGCACTTCATATATTCTCTTCATGGAATTTTTGTCTTCCAAGTCAACTGCTAACTCTTTGAAAGAACAGACTATTCCTCAACCACCTTAATTATCTCCCTTGATGCTTGAAGTCACTTAATCAATGCCTACAGACACTTACTCAGATCTGTCTTTGCAAGAGATAAAACAATCATTTATAACTAGATTCAGAGCTTTGAAATTAAGTTCCTCAACTGTTTGTTATACAGGCTGATTTGGATTGCTCTGCCTGATTGTAATAAGTGTGTTCCTCTAAGATAATGCCCTCCACTCTTCCTCTTTAAATACACATATCAACCGGGAAATACACAAGGCAACAAGAGTCTATTTCTCCTGACCCAACTGCCAACAAAATTCTGCCCTCAAGTGTTTGTATCCTGCCTCATATTCCTGAGACCATCTCCCACTTCTTACTCCCTGTACTACTTTGGAAGAGAAAAATAGCCACATTTCCTTCCAATTTCACTTCTCTCCTCCCTTCAAGAAAGCCTGCTTGCTTTGAGGTTTTTCAAGACAGTCTAGCAGACAGGCGAGTCCAGAAGACTCAACCTTTCAACCTACAAAGTTTAGGGAAAGTGAAAAGATATCAATTATGTAATGATGAAAGGAGAATGGATAATCCAACATGTCAAGAGATGATCATATTCGTCTTTGCCAGATTCAAAAATCCACTTTACAGTTGACATCACTCCCATCTGTATGTACACGCACACACCTTTCTCTGGACAGACTGAAACCCTCTAGGTAAAGAGACAAGGATTCCAAGGATGTCCCAAAGACACCTCTCTGGTTGAAAGGGCTAAGTATTCAATCTAGATAAATCATTCCCAGAGAGAAGATAATATGTATTTAAATGGCTAATTTCATCATTTTTGGTGTATTACTTAAATGAAGTGGGATTGGTTAAAGACAATTGAGATTCCATGCACGCTGTCTTACTATTGTAAAAGCAGGTTTTTAAACAGCTACATCCTGTTAGACTGTTAGAAACTGCTAGGAGGTGACCTGGAGACCCTGTCCATGAACTTGGGAGGAAACACTGCACAGTGCTAAGTGCCAAGGACACACAACAGGCCCTTGATAGGTGTGCCTGCAAGTGGTCTAACAGTTTTACAGTATGTCAATTTACAATGCGCTTTTCATGTCCTCTCTTTTCATCCATACAAAAACTCGTGAGACAGAGAGTGTTCGTTATCATCCTATTTGACAGGTGAGGAATCAAGAGGTGAAGTAGTTTGCCCATGGTCACACAGCCTGAATGCAGCAGGTCCTCTAAGCCTGCCCCACAGCATTCTTCCACGGTATCACACGTCTGTCACGCATACAGCTTTGGAGCTCTGTGGCCTCACATGGCCGGCTAATTCAGGAGCTTCACAGGAGGATGAAACTGATAACTCAGGTGATATTCCCAAGGTCCCACAGTATGTACTTAGAGAAGCCTTCCTGTGGTCTTGCCATTTAACTAGAGGAACGCTTTCAACTGGAGTGGCCACGTTAGGGTCTAAGATACACCCATAATACTATCTACCTGCCTTTAGTCTCTGAAAGGACATCAACTGGATATTTGTTTTTTGTTTTTTTTTTACTTTTTTTTTTTTTTTTGCATCCATGCAAATTGCTAAGAAAGGAAGTCGGGATGGTAATATTACCAGGTGATGATACAAGTAAACATTAGCTGACAAGTGTGCTGACATCTTCCCTAGGTAGATGGCTCTTGCTCATTCTTTTTAACCTCTTCAAATCTAAATCAGACTCCAAGGCTTAGTTCAAAACTGATCTCCAAAAGGCCACTTTTTGGAGGTAGGGTTATGTGTGTATATGTGTGTGTACAAACATGCACAGTTCTTGTGCAACCAAAGTTGGTAACTGCATGGAAGGAGTACGGATCTTAGGGTCTAAGGCATCTGGGTTCAAATCTTAACCCTGCCACTTAGTGGCTCTTTAGTAAAGCAGTATCCTCATTTAACTTCTCTCAAATGTTACTAAGAAGACAACCTCCTACACTTGGAGAATTATAGCAAAGATGAAAGAAAACGATGGTGTCAGACCCCTTATCACAAAGGCATTCAATAAATTACCATTAGCCCCACAAAGCATTCCCTAACTACCCAACTCCTAAACTCCATCTTCAATTGCCAGAATATCTATAGGCCCTGTTATAGGCACTTGTGTATTATAGTCACTAGTGGTAACAGTTTATCTGCCCGAGTAGATTAAACACTTTACAAGGTAGGGTCTGGGAGGGAGGCTAGTGCTTACTTTTATGTCCCTCATGGATTCTTAGAAGATGATAGTAAGGACTCCAATATTTTGAAATGAGCTAATTCAAGTGAACACAAGTTTCAAGCATTGCAAAAAGAACAGTGGCCACGAGGGCAGTTTATTTCACATACAATCAAAAGGCTCTGCAGACCTGCATACCAACGAGGCACTCCAGGTTCCCCTGAAGGATTCTTAGCCTATCTACCAAAAGGGAAAATCTATACTCCACTTACATTTTGAACAAACGTTATTTCAGGGCCTGCTTTATGCCAGCACTGTGTAAGGCCCCAAGAAACCCAAAGATGACTAAGACATGGAACCCACCTTCAAAGCAGCCCTCAAATAAAAGAATGCCATCAACTAAAAATTTATGCAAATGGTGAAGGAACCTAGACAAGGTCCTGTCCTGCCAACCTCTAGGCTCAGTTTTCTCAGCTGGAAACGAGGAAGCTGTATAGATTATCTTCAATGACTATTGCAGCTCTGTCAATTAGCCCATTAATAAATTGCCTCAAAACAGCTAAGTTTCTCTTAGTTCCTCAAAGAGCTATAAACAGAACCACCATTCAACTCAGCAATCCCACTACTAGATATATACCCAGAGGAATGTAAATCATTCTACCATAAAGACACATGTACACCAATGTTGACTGCTGTACTATTCACAATAGCAAAGACATTGAATCAGCCTAAATTCACATCAATGACAGATTGGATAAAGAATACGTGGTACACATACACCATGGAATACTATGCAGCTATGAAAATTGAGATCACGTCTTTTGCAGGAACATGGATGAAGCTGGACGCCATTATCCCTGGCAAAAAAAATGCAGGAACAGAAAATCAAATACCATATGTTCTCACTTATAAATGGGAACTAAATGATAAGAATTATGAACACAAAGAAGGAAGTAACAGACATTGGTGCCTAATTGAGGGTGGACGATGGGAGAAGGGAGAGGATCAGAAAAGATAACTACTGGGTACTGGGCTTCATACCTCACTGATGAAATAATTTGTACAATAAACCCCTGTGACACAAGTTTACCTTCACATTTACCCCTGAACCTAAAATATATACCCGTGAACATATACTCCACAAATACCCCTGAACCTAAAATATACCCACAAGCACAACCTTCACATATACCCCGAACCTAAAATTAAAAGAAAAAATGGGTATTTCTAAATGTAGTTAGAAGTGTGCTTGAAAGTGTTAAATGGAATGTTTTCTCTATCAAGCTGAATCACTTCAATCTCCACAAAGATTTCAGTATTCAGCATTCCTTCCTGCCCTCTTTCCCCACACAGGAAACGAATTATTTTGGGAAGAAGTTACAGGAGAAAGGGAATCTGGAGTGTGCCCAATTTGGGGGGGGTGGCAGGAGCAGTAAATGGAATGCTGCTTTAAGCAAGAACAGAGACTGCAGAAGAAGTGGCAGCTCAGGAGAGGACAAAAGAAAAGAAAGGCACCAGAACAGTGTTAAATTGCTCTGATTCCATTTAGGAGGAGGATAGAAGCCCTGTCCACCTTGGTGGAGCTTGCAGGAATCTCATGCTAAACCACAGTGAAATGTTGACCTTTTGTGGTGATGACTCTTGAGTCGGAAAAAAAAAAAAAAAGAAGTGAAATTATGCTCAATAACCTCTAAGAGGTTTGATAAGTCCTTCCAAAATACTCACTTTGGTGCCTAATTAGTTAAACCCTTGTTATCCACAGATGAAGAAATAGTACCCCATTTCCTGGTGGTTCCAAGGGGAAATTTCCATGTATTTGCTTAAGTACCAGAGCCCAGCCATCCTGCCTCAGCCTGGGCTGGCGATTCTGCAGGGCAGAGCCCAGGGTGTTGGGGCCTGGTGCCACCATCCCCATGGCCCACCCAGGCCTGGATCTGCAACTCTCTCACCCTCAACATCTGCCTCTCTTCCCATTTTCCCAGGACCCTGTTCTCAACTAATAAACAATCCAAGTTAACCCATGCCAGTTACCTTCCCCAGATAACTTATTTATAATGCAACAATGTTCATCTAATGTGAGGATGCCAGAGTATTTAGGCAGACCAGGGCCAGGAAATATTTAGGTCCACAGGCCTTCGAAATGCCTGTTCTCAAAATCTGTGTTCCCATCATCTCATTTTTCTTCAGAAGACCATTGGTTCCAAGATGTGAGATGTGGGGGGCCCTGCAGGGGTGCGGCCAGGACCCTCTCCCAACTTTGCAGCTGAGCATTAAGGTGACTCAGTCATGCTACAAAGTGGACACTCATTTGGAGTCAGAAAAAAATCTCTTGGTCTGGACCCTAGCAGATCACACTCTGTCCCAGAGGTTCCTCAAACATGGCACATGAACGAACAGGGTGCTTCCCAACTTTACTTCTGTTCCAACAACTAAGAAATTCTAAGTAACTCCTTACAAGAGTCTTGGCTTTTGAGTTATGGACACTTTTAAAGTCAGCTTTCTTCATTGGCACGACTTAGAGACAACCAAGTCACAGGCTGGTCATGGAAGAGACACAAGTGAGTGAAGGAAGCTCCTGGAGGACAGTGGTTCTGGGGAGCCCTTTGCCCAGCAGAGGACCCAGCCTTTCCCTAAAGCACACTGCCTGGCAAGCCACTCTATAAACACAATCAGTAACAAGGGCCCTGGGCTTAGCGAGAATCCATGCTTTTCCCTTCTATCCACATGTCCCGAGAAGATGCAGCCCACCAGCTCCAAAGCAAAGCAGCAGGTCCGGCAGGCAGAACCACCCCCAACCAGCAAATTGTCCCATTCTCTTCACAGCTCCAATAGCAAAAACTACAAATACTTTTGCACCAACCTAATATCTCCAGAAACAAATCTACCATCAGTGTAGTCTACACATAAATATACATTTAATAAATTTATCAAACACCATAGCTGACGGTGAATTAATTAACTTCTCATCAGAAAAGTATAATTCAGAAAGTTGTACTTCTTAAAATTACAAACAACCTAGGGGGAAAAAAACTTTAAAAAACAAATCAGCTGAAGTACTAACAAAGTGGCAGCCAATACAGAGTAGATGTATAATTTTGCTTCTTTTATCTGCTATGTGGAACAGTTAGGTCATTCTGTAAAGCTCACTGTAACTGGAAAAGATCCAGAAATCCTGTTTGGTTCTAGATACCACATCTAAAATAACTTTATGCTTCTTGCTCTAGGCTATCTTTATTAATTACCATTTTGGGAAAATGAATGACGGCTATTTGCAAAATGCTCAAGGAAAGCAACACATTATCTTTTTTGAAACTAAAAGGCAGCAACTCTTCCCAAACATGGTGCTGAGTGAGTGAACAGGGAGGAAACTAAAGCAATGCCTCAGTGCACAGAAATTAATTTTTGATTGACACAAGAGAAGTCTCAGGTTCCTGGGGCTATTGGGCAATATGGAGATAAACTGTTTCTCACCTGGGCTAATGGTCCTGAAGTTGGAAGAATGAGTTGTGTATTTATTCCACACCCGCTATAGGAAGAAAATCCTCCAAGCCCATAGAAAAACATTCTCAATCTTTCCTTTCTGACATTTACAACCAAAGAGGCAAACAGCCTCCAAAGGAATGAAAACCAATTCTTTCCATTCAGCAGAGCACTAGGACGAAGATCTAATGAATTCCAGAAGAGCCTTGAAGTAGAAGGGGGTGCAAACCATTAGGGCCGACTGTCTAGTTATAACCACAGTCCACACACCTGGCCTCACTTCTAACACCAACTGCACAAGTAGACATCTCAGGTTCAACAATTCACTAGAAAGACTGATTAAAAGCTGTTGTACTTATGGTACAGTGTTTAGTTTAGCTAAAGGATACAGATGAAGACCAGCCAAAGGAAGAGATGCATAGGACAGAGACCAGGAAAAGCATGAAACGTGTTACTTTCCTGGCAAAGATGTGTGACAATACTCAAAATACTGCCAATCAGGGAAGCTCAACTGAGCCGCAGTGTTCAGAGTTTTCACTGGGGCTTCATTATGCAGGTGTGGTTTACTGCCACATGGCTGACCTCAATCTCCAGCCCCCAACCTAAATGGCATAGTTGATTCTTGAGGTAGGAGGCAGGACTCAGACACTGGACAATACTGAGGACTAGCTAAAAAAGGACAACAAGGAAACAGCTTTCCATAAGACAGGCCCACCCATGTGCCATGTCTGTTTATCACTGCCATGGCAACACCCAGGAGTCACTGCCCCTTTCCATGGCACGGACCTGATGACTGAAAAGTTACCATCCTTTTCCTAGAAATCTCTGCATAAACCTCCCCTTAATTTACCTGTAATTAAAAATAGGTATAAATATGACTGCAAAATTGCCCTGAGCTGCTGCTTTCAGCACACTGCCTATGGGGTAGACCTGTTCTGCAGGAGTTGTCATGAAGCTGTAACACTGCCTGAGCTGTAACACTACCAATTCAAGAAAGCTGTTTTCTCCTACCCTACCACCAGCTCCCCTTGAATTCTTCCCTGGATGAAGCCAAGAACCCTCATGGGCTAAGCTCCACTTTGGAGCTTACCTGCCCTGCATCAATCTTTCTGATATGGCCATACCCTACCCTATGCATGACCAGCTCCTGACCCAAAATCACACTATTGGTATTTCTGGGGTTGCCAGCCCCTACCCTAAATCATATTTTGAGCCCATAACAAAGGCAAGACCCCTTTGTGGGCAAGGTTAAATTATTTAAGACCCAGGCAGCAAATGGCTATACCAGGCATAAAGTCAGTTATCCTGACCCTTAACAGAGAACCAAGAAACAAGGTCAGCCTGCCTCCTGGAGCTGAAGCCCTGCCCAGTCCCATTCCCTGCCTCACCTCTCTCTAAAGGGGGTAAAGACCAAAGTAGTGACAATGGGTTGGAAGCTTAATTCAAGAAAGAGAAAATCATCCACATACCATTTCTTCCTCAAAATGGGGATAGTTTCTCTCTGGGAATTCTGCTATTGCTTCTAGGACCAATGAGACTTTCTTTACTCTGATTCAACCAAGTAATTCTCCAGCTGCTTTTCTAGAAGCTAACCTAGAAGCCCACCAATCTAATGCATCTGTCAGGATCAACTGGGTTCTGCTGTGGTCACAAACCCCATCCAACATTTCACTGGCACACACAAGGTGTCTGCTTTTGGCTTCTGCTCCATGTTCATCATGGGCTGGCTGGGGGTTCTGGAATTCAGGTTGACGGAGCAACCCTCCCAGAACAGTACTGGTTACCATGGCAGGCAAGGAAGAGCTTGGCAAAATGTGTTATCAGAAATGTTATGAAAGTGGCTTCAGCTCATATTTCCTTAATCAAACCGAATCCCATGGTCATGTCCAAGTTAAACTGTAAGGAAGTGCAATTCTACCAAGTGGTCAGGAGAAAGGGAACCAGATATTCATGAGCAACCAAACAACTACTGCATCCACTTCCCAACCAAAGTAGGAATCTCCTCATCTACGTCTCTGACAAGGGCTGAAGGGGATCTGATTGGGAATATGGGGGGTTTGTGTTGTCATTTTAAAACCAAGGTATATAGGGGATGTCTTCTGAATTCAAAGAGTAACATGGAATAGTTGCAGAATTAATTGTTTCAGTTTCACTTGTCTGCCTTGCTCTGTAGTGTGGGCACCAAAGTTCCCCAGTCCACATCACAGGTGGCTAGTAGTCAACCCCCACCCTCAAAAGACCATTACAGCCTAAGATTATAATGGCCATAGCTGGACCAAGAGCTTAAAGGGTAACCTCAGTCTAACAATGACAACAGCATTCAGGTTTGCCTCGATTTGCAAATTCAAGTGCACCGAGGCATACCATGTGAAATCACAACAGCATCATTCCAGTCATAAGAAATCACAGTGAAGATGAGTGCCAGCAGACATACGATAGGAAAACACCTAAGAATGGAAAGAGTATGAATCACAGAAACTCCTGATGAATTACCAACTGAGTTCACTGTGAGCTGAACCAAAACGCCATCACTTCTTCACACAGACTTCTGTCCAGCCAAGGGGAATGTGGTAATTACATTGTCAAATATTTTTAATCTAAATGAAGCATTTAACGTTTCTATTAAGCTTTATCTTCCTCATTCCAATCCATCAAAGTAACTGTATCTAACCCTGAGCACTGCACACTAAGAAGGTCATTGACAAACTAGTGAGTACTCATAGGACAGAGAGAGTAGTAAGGGGTCTGTTACAAGAGAAAGAGGGGATTGGACATTTATTTAGCTGGGAGAAGCCTTGGAAAGGATGTTATCTGTTTGAAAAACATGAAGGGCAGCTGTGTAGAATAAAATAGGCTTCTTTTAACTCCAAAGGCAGAAAGTGGAGTCAGTAGGCAGGACCCAGGAGGCCCCCCTCAGTTACTAAGAGCAGAACCACCTTCTAACAATGTGAGATCCCACAGGCTCAGCAACCGCAGCATTCTGTATTTAGGAGTTGTTGAACAGCACCGGCTGACACCAGCCACAGGATGGGGCATTAGAGCGGTTGATCTGTATGGGTCTAAGGCTTCTCAGTGACTAATCACACCAATATTTATCTGGATATATGAAGGCTGGGAATAAGGAAGAATAAAAAGTTCTATAACATAGCCAGAGATTTAGAAAGCCCCCAAATGACTACAGGTAGAAGGAATAGAAGGCAGGCATTTGTTAAGGAAAAAAATATCTTAGAGGCTATCTATATAGACAGGATGTTGTTCGGATGGGCACCATGAAAGGCAGCAATAGAAGGTCAGAACATGGCGTGCAACACACAATTTGTGTACAGGCTTGTCCTGTCTCCTACGCACCTGCCTTAATCCATCTGGCAACCTGCAAGCACATTCTGCCCTATTCGTTGCTCTCACAGGGGTCTTGCTTAGGGCCAAGCACACCATATGCATGGAATATCCATTTTCTGGAGGGCCTCATCATCTAGCCGGACAGAATGTTATCACCTTCTTATCCAAAGGCTTTGTCTTATGGTGAGGAAGCTGGTGAGGCAAGCTGCACTGAACACTCAGGTGTTGTGAAAATGTCTTCTGGGCATGTAACATCACAGTGAGTCACAGAACACAGAGACCAGAGGATCAAGGTAACCACTTCTGCCCCACCCCCCTTAGAAATATTAACCAGATTGTAGGAAACCCAAACAATCCCTTTAAGTAGAAAGGAATAGATTAAGAAAGCAACCAGATGGCTTGACACAGCATCAGTAACTTTTTCTCTTTTCTTCCCATGGTATAGAAGACTAGACAGGCGTGCTTTGGACGCATAAAGACCTACCTCATCTTGCTGCCAACTCAAGACTGCCTTGTATGGATGATCCCTCTGAAAAAAAGTCTTCAATTGCCTCCCAACCAGGAGGGGTTGGTCTGCCTCCTTTTTTTGGTTTGAGCTTGCCCTTCACTTAAAAGAGGATAGGCAGGGTTCTGGCAGAGAACTTTCCCAACATCAGTCCTTTTTGACAGTCCCCCTTCACTCTCCCATCCAAAAACAGGACTTCAGTGGAAAATATAACTGAGGTTCTGGAAGATGCTCTCCATGAGCTACATATACACAGAACAGTAGCAAATTAACCTGGAAATAACCCCCAAAAGACCTTAGGGAAAGACATTTATTCTTCAGGGTTTATATAAAGCACTGCTTGGGATGAAGGAAAATGCTGATATTCCAACTGAGTGAAACATTAACTCAGATACCAGTAAGAGTCTACAGGAAGAAGTGTATGGATTATGAATGTGAAAGGCCCTTTGCCACACCTAACATAGCACCTAATAGGTATACACAGTTCATCCACATCTTCCAGGCCCTTCAAAAGATGAAGACCACCCCTCCCCCAGATCACTTCACATGCACAGGTGGTTGAGTCTAAATCCCAGGTAAAAACAAGTTATGGCAGCAGGATTCATGCCCACACTTCTTCAAATCCCTCAGAGTGTTGGGGACACTCAGGGCTCAATACAGGCCTTGAATCAATCACCTATTTACCCTAAAACAGGTAACTTCTGGGAGAGGCAACAACTCAGTGCTTCCCTTCAGGAGAAACATTCTGCCTGGAATTTTCATGCCTTTTTCAGCACAGAGGAAGTTGAGGCTACCACTCCCACCAAAATGGAAAAATTAGAAGGAATCCAAAGTGACCTACTTCTGGGTGTCTATAGAAGTTTTAAGAGCAGCAATTCTCAGCCGGGTGCAGCTCCTCATGCCTGCAATCTCAGCACTTTGGGAGGCCAAGGCAGGCAGATCACGAGGTCAGGAGATCAAGACCATCCTGGCTAACACAGTGAAACCCCGTCTCTACTAAAAACACAAAAAATTAGCTGGGTGTGGTGGTGGGCACCAATAGTCCCAGCTACTCGGGAGGCTGAGGCAGGAGAATGGCGTGAACCCGGGAGGCAGAGCTTGCAGTGAGCCGAGATTGAGCTGAGATCACACCACTGCACTCCAGCCTGGGCAACAGAGCAAGACTCCATCTCAAAAAAAAAAAAAAAAAAAAAAAAAAAAAAAAAAAAAAAAATTTCTCTCAGGAGCATCCCCAAAAGCAAAGTATTTAAATTAAAAATGCTGATGGGAAGACTTTAAACATGTATTTCATTCATCATAAGAAGTATATTTTTCCATTAGTTTTTTAAAAAGTATTCAACCAACAACAAAATCTCTCAAAAGATTATTCAAACAGCTCTAACAAAAGTCAAAAGAGGTTGGAACTGAACCTACCACTGGCTGTCCCAGAAAAGATTTCTGCAAACAAGGAAAAAAAATGTCATTTGAGGGATACCAAAGTATATCAGAAAAAATGGATGGTTTTCCATTAATGAGGTGTTTTAGAAACTCAAAAGTTGTTCTCATTAAGCCTGCAAACTTGTTTACACCATTGGTCTTCACTGGTGCCTGTGACACTGATGGAAGAAACCATTTACCAAAAACGGATACATTTCGAAGTATTTGTTTTAACTTTGTTTTGTAAATTAAAGGAGCAGCCCTTCCCAATATACAAATTACTATGTCACTTCCCTAGAAGGTAGGAAAGATGACTTAAGACAGTAGCTCAGTTTAATTATGATTTATTGAGGGCAAATTATAGTCTGTAGTATTTTGCAGCACACTTGCAGGTTCTGCCTTCACTCAGTCTAACCCCTAGCAGGTTGATGGGCCAGGGGTCAAGAAATATTTATGCCAGACACAATCTTGGGGCTGTTAGCCCAAGCCCCTCACTTTAGAGATGGGGAAATCAAAACCCAGGGTGGCGAAGTCACCTGCCCAAGGTCACACAGCCCGTGAATGGCAGAGTCTTATCCAACTGGAAGGAAGAACTTTGGAAAGCCCTCTTCCTACATGGGACATTGTGGCTACAGGCAAGCAAACCAGGAGCCTTCCCTCAAGATGACCTGACTGCCCGCTGGAGTGCCAGCAGCTTCAATTCAGTGCAGTCAGGAGACTGGGCTTGCCTGGCAACCCCAGTGAGGAAACCTGCACCAGAACATAAATGGCAGGTAGGAAAGGCTGGGGAGCAGGGCAAGGGCTGTGCTCTTGACCCTGTGTCCACCCTGCACCTAGATATCTTTAGCGAAAAAGCACAAAGGCCTCCAAACAAGCTAGTCCTTGCTGTCTGGGATGAACGTGTTTAAGTTCTATACTTTCATCAAGGGTTATTACATCTGAATTAACCCAGTGCTAAGACTCAACCTGTATTTTGCGATCTCTTTAGATGTTCTTCTCTGTGAATCAGACTCTTAAAGAGGATGTGAACAAAGTGTAATCCATTTGGGTAAAAATAAAAAACTTACGTATTTAGCGTTGTGTAGACACAGAAAATAGCTGGAAGGATATAGGACAAAATGTCTTCTGCAGGTACTTCTGGAAGTGGGGGTAGAGAAAGGGCAGGCTTTTCGTATAATTCTGTACTCCCTGTCCCCCTCAGAGTATTTTTCACTGCCCTCCAATCGCCCACATAAATTCTTTCCCTGTCCCATAAGGAGCATCACACTTCACAGGGTTCTACCAGTGGTCACCATCTTGTCTCCTTACAGACAGTTTCCATTTCAACCTGATCCCTCATGAATCCCTAACCCTTATTTCCAGCCTGGACTGCCTTCTTGAGCTCTAGAACAGTATGTCCAAAAGCTCACAGGCCAACCCTACCCTGTTCCACAAGCTTCTCAGCCCAACACGCCTTTCAGAGCCTTCATCTTCCCCACAGTGGCTTCTCTTCTTCCAACTACCCAAGTCAGGATCCTAGGAGTCACCCTTAGCTCGCTCCCTTCACCTGCCACACCCAGTGAGTCTGAAGGTCTTTCTGGAACCTCTCTCCCAAAGCAGGTTTCTCCTCTAATCCCTGCCACTGCCCTGTCCACAGTCACCTGAATTACTGCAGTGACCTCCTGATTAGCACCCCTTCTTCCAGTACTCTCTGCCTCCAGTCCAGCCGCCACAGGGTACATGGATTTGTTTAACACATGAAGCTGAAGAAATTCACTCATTCATTCAGTCTTCACTGAGCAACTACTTTGTGCCAGACACTATTCTAGGCCCTGAGGATACAGCTGTCAGCAAAACAGACATTGTGCCCATTCTAGTGATGAAATCAAATTTAAGATCCCATTATGGCTTTCCATGGCTTTAACTAAAATCCTAACATCTTCGGTAGCATACAAGACCGTTCCTGAGCCTGGCCCCAGTGACCTCACTGACCTCACCGAAACTCTTTTGTATAAAGGCCCTACTCTATCCCTCATCTCTCTCCAGTGCCTGCACACTCCCTAAACACTAAATATTAAGGAACCTGCTTTCTAAGGAGCTCAATAAGCAACTACCTTGCCAAATCCTGGGATCCTGTGAGGTAAACAGGAGGCAGAAACTGTTACCAGCATTAGCGGATGTGAAAAATGGGGCAGTGGAAATTGATAGACCACTAGCAAGACTAATAAAGAAAAAAAGAGAGAAGAATCAAATAGACACAATAAAAAATGATAAAGGGGATATCACCACCGATCCCACAGAAATACAAACTACCATCAGAGAATACTACAAACACCTCTATGCAAATAAACTAGAAAATCTAGAAGAAATGGATACATTCCTCGACACATACACTCTCCCAAGACTAAACCAGGAAGAAGTTGAATCTCTGAATAGACCAATAACAGAAGCTGAAATTGTGGCAATAATCAATAGCTTACCAACCAAAAAGAGTCCAGGACCAGATGGATTCACAGCCGAATTCTACCAGAGGTACAAGGAGGAACTGGTACCATTCCTTCTGAAACTATTCCAATCAATAGAAAAAGAGGGAATCCTCCCTAACTCATTTTATGAGGCCAGCATCATCCTGATACCAAAGCCTGGCAGAGACACAAGCAAAAAAGAGAATTTTAGACCAATATCCTTGATGAACATTGATGCAAAAATCCTCAATAAAATACTGGCAAACCGAATCCAGCAGTACATTAAAAAGCTTATCCGCCATGATCAAGTGGGCTTCATCCCTGGGATGCAAGGCTGGTTCAATATATGCAAATCAATAAATGTAATTCAGCATATAAACAGAACCAAAGACAAAAATCACATGATTATCTCAATAGATGCAGAAAAGGTCTTTGACAAAATTCAACAACCTTCATGCTAAAAACTCTCAATAAATTAGGTATTGATGGGACGTATCTCAAAATAATAAGAGCTATCTATGACAAACCCACAGCCAATATCATACTGAATGGGCAAAAACTGGAAGCATTCCCTTTGAAAACTGGCACAAGACAGGGATGCCCTCTCTCACCACTCCTATTCAACATAGTGTTGGAAGTTCTAGCCAGGGCAATTAGGCAAGAGAAGGAAATAAAGGGTATTCAATTAGGAAAAGAGGAAGTCAAATTGTCCCTGTTTGCAGATGAAATGATTGTATATCTAGAAAACCCCACTGTCTCAGCCCAAAATCTCCTTAAGCTGATAAGCAACTTCAGCAAAGTCTCAGGATACAAAATCAATGTACAAAAATCACAAGCATTCTTATACACCAATAACAGACAAACAGAGAGCCAAATCATGAGTGAACTCCCATTCACAATTGCTTCAAAGAGAATAAAATACCTAGGAATCTACCTTACAAGGGACATGAAGGACCTCTTCAAGGAGAACTACAAACCACTGCTCAATGTAATCAAAGAGGATACAAACAAATGGAAGAACATTCCATGCTCATGGATAGGAAGAATCAATATCGTGAAAATGGCCATACTGCCCAAGGTAATTTACAGATTCAATGCCATCCCCATCAAGCTACCAATGACTTTCTTCACAGAATTGGAAAAAACTACTTTAAAGTTCATATGGAACCAAAAAAGAGCCCACATCGCCAAGTCAATCCTAAGCCAAAAGAACAAAGCTGGAGGCATCATGCTACCTGACTTCAAACTATACTACAAGGCTACAGTAACCAAAACAGCATGGTACTGGTACCAAAAGAGAGATATAGATCAATGGAACAGAACAGAGCCCTCAGAAATAATGCCACATATCTACAACCATCTGATCTTTGACAAACCTGAGAAAAACAAGCAATGGGGAAAGGATTCCCTATTTAATAAATGGTGCTGGGAAAACTGGCTAGCCATATGTAGAAAGCTGAAACTGGATCCCTTCCTTACACCTTATACAAAAATCAATTCAAGATGGATTAAAGACTTACATGTTAGACCTAAAACCATAAAAACCCTAGAAGAAAACCTAGGCATTACCATTCAGGACACAGGCACGGGCAAGGACTTCATGTCTAAAACACCAAAAGCAATGGCAAGAGCCAAAATTGACAAATGGGATCTAATTCAACTAAAGTGCTTCTGCACAGCAAAAGAAACTACCATCAGAGTGAACAGGCAACCTACAAAATGGGAGAAAATTTTCACAACCTACTCATCTGACAAAGGGCTAATATCCAGAATCTACAATGAACTCAAACAAATTTACAAGAAAAAAACAAACAACCCCATCAAAAAGTGGGCGAAGGACATGAACAGACACTTCTCAAAAGAAGACATTTGTGCAGCCAAAAAACACATGAAAAAATGCTCACCATCACTGGCCATCAGAGAAATGCAAATCAAAACCACAATGAGATACCATCTCACACCAGTTAGAATGGCAATCATTAAAAAGTCAGGAAACAACAGGTGCTGGAGAGGATGTGGAGAAATAGGAACACTTTTACACTGCTGGTGGGACTGTAAACTAGTTCAACCATTGTGGAAGTCAGTGTGGCGATTCCTCAGGGATCTAGAACTAGAAATACCTTTTGACCCAGCCATCCCATTACTGGGTATATACCCAAAGGACTATAAATCATGCTGCTATAAAGACACATGCACACGTATGTTTATTGCGGCACTATTCACAATAGCAAAGACTTGGAACCAACCCAAATGTCCAACAATGATAGACTGGATTAAGAAAATGTGGCACATATACACCATGGAATACTATGCAGCCATAAAAAATGATGAGTTCATGTCCTTTGTAGGGACATGGATGAAATTGGAAATCATCATTCTCAGTAAACTATCGCAAGAACAAAAAACCAAACACCGCATATTCTCATTCATAGGTGGGAATTGAACAATGGGAACACATGGACACAGGAGGGGGAACATCACACTCTGGGGACTGTTGTGGGATTGGGGGAGTGGGGAGGGATAGCATTGGGAGATATACCTAATGCTAGATGACAAGTTAGTGGGTGCAGTGCACCAGCACGTCACATGTATACATATGTAACTAACCTGCACATTGTGCACATGTACCCTAAAACTTAAAGTATAATAATAAAAAAAAAGAAAAGAAAAATAGGGCAGTGGAAGCCACAACATATAGCTGAAAATAAAGCTACAGTCACAGCTCCATACTCAATGCTCCCCTGGCACACCTCTCTTCACACAGGCAAGGCCTCTGCCCCTAAATGGTCATAGTCACTAGCAAGTGTGTCCATCAGTTTTAAAGGTTAACTCTTCAAGGCCAGCTCTCAGGAGCCTTCCTCTGTCCTCCTGGATGCCTAGCTGGGATGCTGTCTCTTGGGTCAAGCTTCTGGTCCTTCCCTAAATGTGGTGATGAGAGACATTGGCTTCCTTTTTACTCCAAAGGTCACTTTTGCTTCTTATTGTTTTTAATCCCACTCCCACAGGAAAAAACAGTTCTGAAAAATACATGTACCAAGGCTTTGTAGTTCAGAGTTAGCAGCTAGTCTGAAATTCCAAGGATAAAGAATTTCCATCATACTATAGCCCACCACAAGTTCTTCCTGAGAACAGTGGACTGACTGCACGTCACTCAGTTCTTCCCCAATTCTGTGACCAAGGAGAAGATGTCAACTTGAGGTGGTCCTTGAGCCATTCTGGGTCTCAGCACCCTCATGAAGGGTCTAAATTTGAAGGATCATGATATAAATATGATCTTAAATTTCTACTATTCAAAGCCTTCTTGGATAGGGGTGGGCTTTTATGTCAGAAAAATGTAGGTTTAAATAAAGACTCCATCACTTTCTAACTGTATGGCTCTAAGAGTTTCATCACTTATAAAATTGGGATAAACTACAACACATTGTTATGTGCATTAAACTATGCAAGAAAAATGCTTGGCTCTAGAAAAAGTATATATATACACTAGTTTCCCTTCTTCTAAAACACTGAATTTTTTTTTTAAGCCTAAACACAGCTAGGATTGTATTGTATCAGAGAATTCTGTTTTGGCTCCCTGGAGTCTGTACTCGGATGTTCAAAGGATGTGAGTGAGGATGAGTTCTCTGAGCTGGTCCCTTGGAATCGTGGTGATCTTACCCATTTCTTTGGGGGCAGGGTCCACCCCAAATCACACCACTCCTGGGTTCCAGCTTCCTCAGCCTGCCTTCCCGCTCCAGGGATGCACAAGACCTGCAGCCCAGAGAGCCTACATCCTGGGGGAACATCCGCCCCGTTCAGATCCTTCCTTGACTTTGATCCAAGATGGCTGGGGGCACAGTGAGAGAGATGACGGAAATGAATTACGTAAACAAGAGTGCTGAGTCATCAAAGATTAAATCCTCTCTGGACCACAATTCCTCAGCCAAAGACCAATACATTATACAGCAGTTTGATTCACAGGCCTTCGTGAAAAGCACAGCCTACTGATCCCGAGTCCCAATGGTGCCTCCCCCACCCCGTGTTTTCTGCTGAGGTGGCAGGCAATAATTAAAGCCACCTGCCTAATCACAAAGCATAAGCTGCTTCACAGAATTTCATAGGTTTCCTTAGGTGTTTAGGGGCTTAACCCACAACGAGGGCACTCCCTGAATGAAATCTGAGCAGGATATTCTGGGATGATCAGTTTGGGTTAAGAAACTAAAGTCGTCCTTTCTATATTAAGACAGGTGAGAGATGACAAACTCTAGTAAATGTGCTACTGCTTTCAGCATGATTCCAAAGGACAACTTTTTGGTGATTTTTATTTCAGAATTTACCAAAACCTCTGAGAATGGGTACCAGAAGAGAGTTTGAAAAGCATACTCCATTATCCCAATCACATATTAAAGACAACCCACAGGTCTTGACATCACAAGCTTTGCCACATAAGAACTACAACATGAGAGCAGGTAATCAATTCATACAGCCACTAACATGCAGGCCCAACTGGCCTAAGAAACCTGCCTAATGTACTTTATTATGACTTTTTTTATATTTTGATTTTAAAACCCAGGAAAGCTAAAATAACCATTTCCTAAGTTCTGATATTGGGGTTCTTAAAACCTACAAAGAGTAAACAAAAACTATGATTGTATATTTTTTGGTGTTCATTAAAAGAAATAGTATGTATTCTCAAAACTAAAAAAAAAAAAAAAAAAAAAATCACACTGAAAAGAAACACATGTCCCTTGTTCATATATTGGTGAATTCTATAATAGATTCCACCCTTCAGGCAAGTAACAACTAGAATTTATTTTCCTTGTGAAAAATGCAGGAAATCAAACTAAAGTTACTGCTGGTATATTCATGCAGATTTCAGGTGGCTGTCTTATTGACATAGCTATATAAAGCAGGAAATTTGGATTCCCAGGTAGATCTTTCCCAAGACTAATCAATGTCCTGTGGCACAATTAGTCACCCAAGTTAAATTCCAGCTTACCCAGTAAGATGTGGCACGTTCGTACTATATACACTAATTGCAATAAGATTTGGGTCATGTTCAATGTTTCAAAGATTGAAAATAAGGATGTCTTCTAAAAGGCATAAGACTTCAGTGCTCCAAGTGTTAACTTCAAAATAGTGACTTTCAAGCTAGGAAGGATCCCCTGTGCAACAAGAGATGTCAGTGTTAACAGTGAGGCATGACTTGGAATGTAAGACGCTCCTAGTAGATGGAATCTATTCTTATATATTTATAAGCACAAGCAGCATGAGACATGGGAGAAATATTTCATTTTCTTTTTTTGAGATGGAGTCTTGCTCTGTCACCAGGCTGGAGTGCAGTGGCACGATATCGGTTCACTGCAGCCTCCGCCTCCCGGGTTCAAGCGATTCTCCTGCTCAGCCTCCAGAATAGCTGGGACTACAGGTGCATGCCACCACGCCTGGCTAATTTTTGTATTTTTAGTAGAGACAGGGTTTCGCCATGTTGGCCAGGATGGTCTTGAACTCCTGACCTCTAGTGATCTGCCCGCCTCAGCCTCCCAAAGTGCTGGGATTACATGCGTGAGTCACTGTGCCCGGCCTCACTTTCTTTATGGAAATAAAATCAACTCTACCCTTGAGTGGGGAAGTGAGTGAGTGAGTGAGCGAGCGGGGATGCGAGTGAGTGACGACACCAGTGAGTGAGTGAGTGGGGATAGTCTGTGTCTAAGACTGCAGTGTCCTTGCTCCCCACCCCTGGAGCCTCTGGGCACCTCTCCACCACCTGTAATTTATAATGGTCTGGCTGCACATGATCAGGAAGATGCCAATGAAGCTGAAGACACTGATCTCCACAATGGCCATTAGACTTCCTGGGCTCTCAACACACAGGACCCTTCTCTGCCTTGGCCAAGGCTCCACAATTGACCTCCCAAAGCCTTCTCTATGTAACATACATCTTCACACTTGTGTATGTGTGTAGGTCTGTATGTAGGTGGTATGTGCCCAGAGAATAGCAGTGGCTACCTCTGAGAAAGAAAGAAGGATTGGAGAAAGGTAAGGCAAGGAGGGACTTTCACTCATTATCTTAGAGATTTCTATATTGTTTGATTTTTGCAAGATCATATTGTGTGATTTTTTTAAAGCTTATCCCCCACCCAAAAAAGTCAATGACAAGAAAAGACAATCCATGACCTCACAACATTGAAGTCAAGAGTTTCTTCTTTGCACACTAAATCTGGCTCCTCTAATTTTAAGAACAGTTAATGCTCCACCATGCCTTCTTTGATTGGTACGGGATTTGTCTAAGCCTACCTGCATATTGGGGAAGGGAAGATACAGGTTGAGTAGTAATGTCAAGATGGAATTCAAAGAGCATGGGCAAAGTCCTCAATTGTGTAATATCCTGCTTCTATTCCACAGAAGCACATTCGAGTTCACATTTGTTACCTATTATCTGGAAGCACCATGAGGGCATTTAGTGCAATATGCTTGACAAGCAAAAATGCAGATTAATAGTCCATTAGCTTGTTCAACAAGCACTTCTAATTGGGACAGGATGACACTGAGGTGGGAGGGACTGGAATTAGTCATAAGGAAGACTTTCCTAGCACAAGGGCTTTAGGGCCCTGGAATGAATGGTCAGAAGAGGGGTTCAAGCTTCCTTCTCTGAAAAATCCTTTAAAATCAGGTAGATACTCTCCTGTGCAAGGCAGTTTTGCTGGAGTCCTACCTGACATTGGCTGTTATGTTACAGACTTAGGTTTACAAAGCAGCACTCAAAAAAGTCTGTTTGCCTTCAAGGTATTTTTCATGTTACACAAGGTAGCACCACAGACTAAAAAGGCCTGCTTTAGAGCAGACAAACCATCTCAGTTGCAACTCTTCTTCTAGTGGTTTTAACTCGGACAAATTTGAAAAATAGCTGTTAAAAAACAACAACTTGTTTTTCAAATTTATATGGGTTCACATACGTAAGGTTTCCAGTACAGGGAGACCTTCCATAAATAGTAGCTGCAACCACTCCAGGTACGAGGCAGCTACGTGGCACAAACAACCAGGCCTCACTTCACACAGTTATAGTGAACCAGGAGTCATCTCCTCCACTATATTATGCCTTTAACTAATATATAGCTCATTCGTAGAATGAAGAATTGGTAAGAACAGTGGTTAAAGTTATGTATTCTTTATTCTACTATCATCTTTTAAAATATGACCCATATTAGAATATGATTTAAAAGAACTACAAATGGTATTTAACCAGGTACTTATCTTGGTAATCCTTGAGTAAAAGATTTCATTCATTTCACCCTCAGTATTTTGAGATAAAAAACAAAAAAATCTTCCTAAGGATTGAACAACCATCACTGCTTCTAACTACCTTGCAGCAGTTTATCTACATGCTAATCAAAAAGACCTGACTCTCAATTTAGTCAGAGAAGAGTCATTAAATTGTTTTGCCCGGCACTCCCAACAGGCAAGTGAGTTGTTTCATGCTATTTCCTCTACCAGAGTAGATGCAAAAAGGAAGAGGAAAAAGCTAAGTGTGTTCAAGTAAGACTTGGCAATTGTCTTTTTACCAATCAGAAAAGCAATTCTCTTTCTGATCGGTTAGTGAGAACTAGGAATTTCTGAGCACTAAAAAGAATCTCAGTAACCACTACAAACCAAGATCCAAAAGTGCTTTATGAAATGTCACAGTGGCACCGAAGATGACTTCAACATAAGTTTGGTTTTCAAAAGTTAACTTCAAGTCCTTTAACACTAATAGGTCAAGAAGATGAACTAGAGGACTTAACTTCTTGCTGTTCCAGGATCCTAAGGAGAAAAATGGTGGCCTGCCACAGTCGTGCACAATGACATTCTAGCAAGGTCCTACACTTTTTCTGGGACCACACCCACATAAATCCTTTGGATTGTTCCAATTTAAAGTAAAATCTCAATTAACCACAACCCAACTAACCAGGACCAGGCCACTGGACTTCCACAAGCAATATGGATTAAAAGAAAATACATTCATATTTAAAATCAACTTCTAGGGAACATCCAGTATTTGCACACTCAACACCTCTCCTATGCCATTTTCATCTACAGAACAAGTACAGTAAGATTACTGTTTCAAGATGCTAAGACCCTGATATGGTTTGGCTGTGTCCCCACCCAAATCTCATCTTGAACTATAGTTCCCATAATCCCCCCGTGTTGCGGGAGGGACCAGGTGGAGATAACTGAATCATGGGAGCAGTTTCCCCCATTCTGTTTTTCTGATAGTGAGTTCTCATGAGATCTGATGGTTTTATAAGAGGCTTTTCCCCCTTTGGCTCAGCACTTCTCCTTCCTGCCATTATGTGACAAAGCACGTGTTTGCTTCCCCTTCAGCCATGATTGTAAATTTCCTGAGGCCTCCCCAGCCATGCTGAACTGTGAGTCAATTAAAAAACCTCTTTCCTTTATAAATTACCCAGTCTCGGGAATGTCTTTATTAGCAGTGTGAGAACAGACTAATACAGACCCACATCCAAAGGAAGCTATTTTCTTTAGCTCCACTTTCTTAGGTACAAAAAAGCATAAAGGTAGCCCAATACATTCTAGGAAAGAATTTTAACAGTGTATCTTACATGTAACTTTTCCATTTTGATGATAGAACTAAAAGCTAGAAGTCAGTCTTGACACCTCTCCCATCCCAGCCATCACACTAAGTGCCATCATTTCGACCTTCAATGTACACATGAAATCCATTCAACTTTATCCAACGCTACTGTCACCAATGAAGTCCATGCCAGCATCATCTCTTACCTGAGCCACACTGATCCCCTGTAACTCTCTACCTCAACACCCACCCTCCCCCAGGTCATCCTTCAAAACACTGACAGAATAATTAAATCTATAGTGAATTGTGTCTCTCCCCTCTTTGAAATCAACAATGGATATCCTTTTTGTTTTGTTTTTTTTTTTTGGCTGGGGGTGGGGAGGTGGGGGGACGGAGTCTCGCTCTGTCGCCCAGGCTGGAGTGCAGTGGCGTGATCTCGGCTCACTGCAACCTCCACCTCCTGGGTTCAAGTGATTCTCCTGCCTCAGCCTCCCAAGTAGCTGGGATTACAGGTGCCTGCCACCATGCCCAGCTAATTTTTGTATTTTTAGTAGAGATGGGGTTTCACCATGTTGGCCAGGCTGGTCTCGAACTCCTGACCTCAGGTGATTCATCTACCTCGGCCTGGATATCCTTTGAATATGGGATAAAATCTAAAATTCTAACCACCAAAATATCCTATGTGATCTGACCCGGGTCTCTTTCCAACCTCTCTCAAACGCTCCCCTATAATTTCTAACAGTCCGATCCCTTTGACCTTTCTTCCAGTTCCTCCAACCTGTCAAGCCCTTTCCTGCCTCTGGGCCTTTGCATTGGCTTTTCTCTCAGCTCCAGCCACATTTCTCTTCTCCCCAACTCCAGCCAAGCCCTTTTTCCTCACTAGCTGCTGCTTCTCATCCTTTGCTTTCTCAGAGAGGTCAAGTTGATCTCAAATCTAAAATACAAAATGTGGCCCCGTTAGTCTTGCACCATCCTGTTCATTTTCACCAGTGCCCAGCAAACTGATGCTCTTAACATTTACCTGTGTGGTGATTTAATGTTTGTCTCTCCTGTTAGATCATAAGATGTATGAGGGCCAAAACCATGTCTTGTGTTTACAAATGCCTACCCAATGCCTGGAATAGAATAAGCACTTAAATAATGGTGAAATTCAAAAACAATTGAGAATATTTTAAAAACCAAGATCCATATACTTGTTCAACCAGAACTCACTGGAACTCTACAAGTAAAATTTGGGAGGTTTTACTGTATGTGACGAAATGTGATCACACAACTAAATACTGATTTTTTATGGGTGGAAGCAGAGGATGGCAGGAGCACATCTAAGGTGGAAGTGGGCACACGAAGGCATTTCCCTGAAAACCTTAAATGATTACAGGGACCAGGAGAGAGGGATCCAGCAAATAATGAGTTTGGAGTCATCAATAAGCAAGCTGTATTACTTTTATATAGTAAGGTCTTCTTGGGGCCACATGTCTAAAGCAGAAATAGTGTCTGGCTTCACAGATACTCAAGTAATTATGGCACAAAGAAGAAATAGATGGAAGATCCCTGGATCTCCCAATGAGCTCACATGGATGCTGCCAAGGACCTCAGAACCCCTAACCAACGCCACTCTTTCATATACCTAATATGACTTAGCAGGTGAGCCTCCATTCCCTATTTTTATGCAGATATCTGGACTTTTCATCTACATTTTTACCTTCTTGGAAGCGCCATTTCTGACCCTCAGGACCCACAATTATTAATATCTTTCCTTGCGTGGATTCCTAGCTCTTACATGTATTGCTCATGTACATAGTTAAATTTCATCATGTGATGCATTTGTACATGGACAATCACAAAATCCCATACTGTGGAAAGGACCTGAGAACACCCTTCAAAATCACCTGGCCCAAAATCCTTATTTGCAAGTGAAAAACCCAAGGCCCAAGGAGGTGACATATTTTTTCCAAAGTCAGAGTCCATTGTTGAGGACACTAAAATGAGAATGCCAGTTCCCTGGCTCCCAATCCAGAACATGCCCCATTATGGTCTCCCTAAGGAGCCGGTGTTCTCTGAGGCAGGAGCTACAGTTATCAACCTCCTGGCACATTGTGGAAAGCTGTTGAGCATCTGATGATGGGGTAAGAATGATAATGTGTATGGATTACCATGAAGTCCTCTAGATTAAACATGAATCTACGCCTGTGCTACCCTACACCACGATGTTTGCCGTTATCATTATTAATGGACACTTCCAAATGAGAGCAGGCTGCACAAAGCCCTGCAAATTCTACAGCTCCTTTCATGCATGAAGACTAACAACCATGAGAGACAAAGGTTTAAACTCGTTATCCTGGGGAGACTCCCAGAGAAGTCAAACAGGTTTGTCCAGAGCTGTCAATCACTTCTGAAAATAAACAGACCTAGTTGAGAAGGTGCACAGCCAGCCTCAAAGGTTAACCAAACCCACAGTTAACCCAGGGAAGATCTCCTGACTCCTAAGAAATCATGCAAAGGTTGAAGCAACTGATTTACGCCCCCGCCAACTGCCACCCCTCTGCCATCAAAGAAAATATGCTTTCCTCTACTTTCTAACTCTGATATTTGATTATTTCAACCCCTGCAGAAAATCTCTCAGATACCAATCCCCTGGCATGTTCAAGGAGCTTTCACATGTTTATTACCTTCTTCAACCCTCACACCCATCTTTCCCAGGCTGGGCCTAAATATACAACCCAGGAAACTCAAGCTGAGAGACGTTAGTGACATTCAGTCACCCACGGGAGAGCAGTCAACTAAAGCTCCCAGCTCCAGGTGCTCTGCAGCCCCCAGGCCACCGTGCTTCTCATGCTCACAGTGGCTTTCTCTGCCCACATCATGTCAAATCCCAAATCCTCCCCCACAGACTTGTCTCCCAACTGTCCCAAAAGGAATCTTCTATTCTAAGAAAAAGTCCCTTTGCCATCCCGCACCTCCAGGCCTCTATGATGCCCCACGCCGCCAGCAACCAGCTCCCCTCTCTCCCAGTGTTTGTTACTCAAGGTCTTCACGTTCCACTGTTTAGTCTCCTCCTGCATCCTCCCCAGCACCCCCACGCCACTGATATCATGCTGCACATTCCGTGTGGCACTGCCTGTGCTGCTGCTGCCCTATCCAAGACTGAGCTTCAGATGGCAGGAACCCTGCTGCCCAACCCTCACCCTCCCTTGCAGAACAGGCACAGGCACACAGACGCTCCACATGAACAACGTAGCAACACTGGATCCTGGAGAGTCACAAGTTGGACAGTACTCACGCAGACGTGATGGCATGGCCAGGGGTGCAAATGGCTCCCCTCTGTCCATGGGACCACATGCTAACACGCACAACGTACCACAGTCAACACTTCCCAGCGGATGATAAAACACCAAGCAAGAATATCCACCGTAAGCATGGAAGCAGAAACAACGGGGCTGCCCGGGTGCACCTATGACCCTAACGTAGGGTCAGTGAGGGTAGCTGCTCTCTCGAAAACTCTATGTGGGTGGCTTTTCTTAATGTTCTGCTGTCATCTGCAGAGGGCAAGGCTGTGGAGCAGACTCTCTAAGGTCAGAGGCCACAGCTGGAGGATCTCAGTATTGAAAGGAGCCTTACAGATGGATCTTGGGTAAAACCCAGTTCTCTATCAGATGATGGAAAGCAGAGGTTCCCTGACTCGGGGGTTCTGTGGACCAGTTAATATTTACTTAATTTCAGAGACTATCAGCAACATTCTCCACAAGAACAGACATTTTAACTGCCCCCCAAAGTAAGGACTTCAGAAAAGGACAGTCCTCCAGCCGACTGTGTTCCTGGGGACAAGCCACAGAGCTGGCACACATTCCCCATGAAAGGTCAGGTAGCCATATGTGAACACCTCCAGCAATGAGAGGGTCGGGGGGTGGCTTGGGGGGCCACTCTGGGTCACCTGAAACTTGTGTCTTCAGATTGAGCTAGAATCCATCTCCCTGAAACTTTCACCCACTCATCCTAGTTGTGACCGCTGTGAGAGTAGACACAATCCTAGGGCCTAGCCCAAAGGAAATCCTCAGCACATATCAACTCCCCTAGTCCCTCCACTCTCGATTCCCTACACAGTTCAGAACTGTGTGGAGACTGCATTCCTGTCCAACACCCACCCCTCAGCCACCAGCAGCCCATTCTGAGCTCATTCTCTCCTCAGAAAAGCCCTGAAACACTGCGGCCATTCTCCCACGTTAATTTCCCAACTCCCGCCCTGTCCTGGGCTCTCAAGGCCACCCTCAGCTTGTGTCCTCCTTGTAGTACAGGGCTCAGTATTGGGGGCTGGACACAAAGCTCAAAGTTGCAGTTGTCCCTTGTGGAGCTCACAACCTGGCTTAGAAAAAGAGATTAACTCACATTAAACAATGAAGGACAATTCAGGAGCCCACGGCAGGCAGATCACCTGAGGTCAGGAGTTTGAGACCAGCCTGGTCAACATGGTGAATCTCCACCTCTGCTAAAAATACCAAAATTAGCCGGGCATGGTGGCACATGCCTGTAATCCCAGCTACTCAGGAGGCTGAGGCATGAGAATCACTTGAACTTGGGAGGTGGAGGTTGCAGTGAACCAAGATAGTGCCACTGCACTCCAGTCTGGACAACAGGGCGAGACTGTCTCAAAAACAAACAAAACACACAAAACCATGAAGGACCGCTCCCCTCTAAGGGAGTGGGGGGACTATACCTAAACACCAAATTGTGACTAGACCCCAGACACTGAAGGAATTTAGAGGAAATGGGCAGAAAGGACTAGGGTTTCGGGGCGGGGTGGGGGGGCACAGGAGTCACTGCTCTTACCACATTCTCTCTTCCCCTGAAATATCAGAAGACAACATGCAGCCCGACCCTGCTAGCTACAGCCACTACCTCCGTCTCCCTCAGACCCTGAAGCAGAAGGATCAGTGACCCTTAGAAAGCATCCTCCAAGACAATCAGGTTCTAGACAGAGTCCCCACTATGGGGCAACCAGGAAACATGGACAAGAGTCCCAGGTTCCTGAACACTGCAAAACACAACTCTAAGGCAGGAGCCCCTCCCTGCTGCCCTGAAGCAAAGTCAGGGACTGTGACAGCCAAAGCAAAGGCAGAGGGAGAAAGCTGCTAGGGGAAAAACAGCATGAGTTTTTGAGAATTCAAAGATGCCCCATTCAGGAAGCTGGGGAGGCTGAGGAACCTAGCCAAAGGCAGGGCCACCAGCTTTTTGCTAAACTGGTTTGGCATCCACTTTTTTGTTCATGGAAGTGGTTACATAGGTACCTGCGTGCAACGCAGATGGCCAACAGCCACTCCCTCAGTAGTGGTATTTCCCAGAAGGCAGGGAAGAGGTCTGTCTTGCAAGATGAGGTCACTACATTCTCCAATTCCCCTGTGCTCCAATCTTAAAGAAAAAGCTATTTCTCAAACTGTTCTGCATGGCCCAAACTCAGTCTTCAAATGGGGTTCTAAAATGTATTTCTGCATATCAACATTCTCCAACAGCAATATAGTGTGAGGAAAGTAGCCTTCAGAATCCTGAACCATCCCTCCCTCCCTCCCTACCCACAAGCAAATTCCTGCCAAGTGCTAGCATATTTTCAAAACATCATTACCACTCCTGATAGGAATCCCGGCGCCCAGTTTTTGATACCAAAAGTTAAGGGAAGCAGTAAAACATCTAATTTGTTGAAAAATTTGGAAGGACTGTGCTGATCTACCAGCAAGTTCAGCCTCCTGATAGACAACTCTTTTCTTCAAAGAGCGTATTTTCCATGAGATTGCCAACGATGCTTGGTCACAGCCTCCTGTAACTGATGAGGGGAGAGAACACCAGAATGTTGGCTCATCAGGACATCTTTGGCATATTCCAAAAGCAAACTGGGCGGCCCTGAGCCCTCGACCACATCACATTATCCACTAATGCACATTTCTTCACAGTGCTGGCACTGAGGCACATCAGATATGATCATCAACTGTTTACACAGAATCCACTGCCTCTAAGTGCTGCACTGTGCCAACCTTTCTGAGGCAGCACCATCTGCAACCCAGAGGTCAGCACAGTACTGCCCAAAAAGATCAGGCAACAAATCTTTCAGCTACACAGCACCTCACAGCTGATGCCTCCCCATCCCGTCCATTCCAGCCCTGTCACAGCGGCATCTCCCTCCCACATTCCAAGCTACTCGGAGCCACACCTATCAGCTAAGCAAAGTGTCCTTGATGGAGACCTCCTTTTACAAACTGGTTGAGGCAGTCATGTTTTACATTTCAATGATTTTTGTTTGTGTTCATGCAACTGTAGCTAATAACAAAAATGACTTCGTGAAGTATAGTACTATCAGCAGATCTTCTGAAATGAATTGCTACCAAGGTTGCCAGCTTTCCAAGACACAAGATGATTCATGACCTCATGTAGACAGACCTCCAGTGAATGCAAAGCCCAACCAAGCCTGCTAATATTTTTTCCTTTTTCCTCCCCATACTGCCACCTCATCACTCTCCAAAAGGGAAAAAGTCATGCACACGAATTAATCCACCCTGACATACAGAACTTGCAGTGGGGAGAGAGCTCGGCTCGTTCATGTCAGGGTGGTACCCTCCACTCTCCCAGGAGAGGGGCAAACAAGGGCACCATTCATGTTCCAGTTTTCCCCTCCATCACCACATCAGCCCAGCCCTGCAGATTTCATAAGCAATGGCTTTTTACTTTTTCTACCTGTCACGTTAAGGAAGAAGGGAAACCCCTGGCTGCAGCTCTGGGCAGAAACAGCATGAATCTCCTGGGGCACACAATCTTAGTTTCTCCTCCTATCTTATTTCAATACCATGAGGCCCCACCAGCAGCCCAGGTGCTGGATACTGTGGGAAATTTTCTGCAGTGCATTCCTGATAGCGTCCATGAGCAACTTCCCTAACAAAGGTAGTCTCTGGGCCAGAGTCTCCTAAAAACAAGTTGGGCAGAAACAGCTTCATTCAGCAGAGACCAGCTGCTTCTCACAAACCAGACTTGTTCAAGCTGCACCAGGACCCCATGGAGCTGGCCCCTCCCATGCCTGCCTGGACTCCAGGTGATTATTTTGCTGGCAGTAACAAAAGAGGAGAAAGCACAATCATTATGCAAATGTTAATTTGCTCTGAGATCCCAAATGACAGTTCAGGTGACTTCAAACATCCCATCCATGTCTAAATCCTAATAAACTTCATGTTTTAGCCATTAGGTAGGAATGTAATTCTATTTAAAAGAAAAATATCAAAAATTGTTCAAGTTATCAGAGGTACAACATTACAGGCAAAGAATATTTCAAGGGAATTAAGTGTCTCTTTTCTGCATAACATAAGGTGGTTTTTAGTGCTGGTTTTAGACAAGGTAGCTATCCTGATGCAGGAGTCAAAGACTACAGAAGCTCCCCACACGAACCTCTTAACTTACATCATCAGGAGACTCGCTACTCCAACTTTGGGCGCCTTTCGCATTATTGTTTGTACTTTAGTGATCTTTATGTAGTAGTGACTCAGGTCTCATTTCCACTCTATTTCAGGCCTCCTTAAGTATATGCCTTGTTATGGGTGGCCTTCTCTTCAAATAGAGCAAGCCATCCCAACCTGTCTAATGACATTATTTTGTCAAAGCTGCTAATCCATCTACCAGTTATCCATGAGATAGAGTCTACTGAGAAAGACACACACCAACACAGCGTAACTGACATCTGTGACCATCCCCCCACTTTACAGAACTTCTGTTTAAGGGAAATGCCCCCTTGATAAGGTATTCACATACATTATTTGGAATCTGTGACTCAATGTCTCCCTGGAATTAAATCCATTTAATTAAAAAGAAATTTTCAAATTGTGATTTTTTTTTAATCAAGTGTCAGGATACATGTGCAAGATGTGTAGGTTTGCTACATAGGTAAATGTGTGTCATGGTGGTTTGCTGCACCTATCAATCCATCATGTAGGTATTAAGCCCTGCATACATTAGCTATTTGTCCTGATGCTCTCCCTCTTGCCACCCCTCCAACAGGCCCCAGTGTGTGTTGTTCCCCTCCCTGTGTCAGTATGTTCTCATTGTTCTCTGATGCTTCTTAAAAATTGGGTTTCTATCATAAGAGTAAAATAGAAAATGTCCCTTCTTGGAGCTGAAGTTGAGTTAAGAAATCTCAAGACTGGGAGTGTATTCAGTGTTGACACATTATCACCCTCAACAGATCACTTTGTGGAGGTCCCACCAACGCTCTTCTTTCTGGAGGAGTTCGCAGCTTATTTGGTATCTGGCAGGGCTTTGGAGCATCTATATATGCTGGGCACAGGCCCCTCACTGCAGCTGGGGGAAAATCAACAGAGAATCAAGGGTTGACCTGCAGGTTTACAAGTCTGGAAAGTTAACTAGTCATCAACTCAGGGGAGAGATGCATCTACCAGAATGCCACTGATTAACACTTTTAAAATAACCTGGGCCAGGCACAGTGGCTGGCTCATGCCTGTAATCAATCCCAGGACTCTGGGTGGCTGAGGCAGGAGGATCACTTGAGTCCAGGAGTTTGAGAACAGCCTGGGCAACATGGCAAAACCCCATCTTTACCAAAAATAGGAAAACTAGCCAGGCACGGTGGCAGATGCCTATGGTCCCAGCTATCTGGGCTCAGGTGGGAGAATCACTTGAGTCCAGGTAGCTGAGACTTCAGTGAGCCATGATTGTGCCACTGCATTCCAGCCTGGGCAACAGCATAAGACTGTGTTTCAAAAAATAAAGAAAGGCCAGGCACAGTGGCTCACGCGTGTAATCCCATGACTTTGGGAGGCCAAGGCAGGCGGATCACTTAAGGTCACGAGTTCAAGACCAGTCTGGCCAATATGATGAAACCCCATCTCTACTAAAAATACAAAAATTCTCAGGGCATGGTGACGTGCACCTGTAATCCCAGCTACTCAGGAGGCTGAAGGAGGAGAATCACTAGAACCCAGGAAGCAGAGGTTGCAGTGAGCTGAGATCGTGGCATTGCACTCCAGCCTGGGTGCGACAGAGCCAGACTCCGTCTGAAAGAAAAAAAGGAAGGAAGGAAGGAAGGAAGGAAGAAAAGAAGGAGAGAAAGAGAGAAAGAAAGATAAGATAACCTGACTGGAAAACCAGGGCTAGATTTTCCTTCCCCAGGATCACATTCACTCAGTATCAAGATTTGTGTCAAAAAAGGTATTAGAGAGTTCTAGTTACAAGGCTGTTAGAGGCCTCTCTTCCACCTCAAGGTTTGGATGGTTTGCCCACAGTCAAGCATGCTCCCACCAAAGTGACAGGCAACTCATACAAAACCTTGTTCCTGTCCTCCTTTTTCAGCAACCAGAAAAGTCATCACCTTATGCCAGGTACACTCCAGCACCATTGAGCAGGCGGGGGTTCTCTGTATTAGTTAGTACGCCCTTCATATCAAGCCCTCAGGACTTGCCTGCCACACATTTTATGAGCAATTCCTCAGGGTGAGTTCACCTAACTGATGGGTAATTGCACCCATTATACAAGCACTAAGGTAAACTCATCCTAACCTTGTCCCCAGATTCTATCTGAAACCTTAAGCATTCTGTGCCCTGAATACTGGTAACAGCAGCCCAAATTATTTTTGGGTATGGCCATGCTTAGTTTTTTAGTTAAACCTCAGAAAAGATAGACATAAGCAAGCAAATTTGCTAACTCTTCTGTTTAAACATCAGGTTTACAAAACATCCATCATCCCAATAACACACAGCTAAGCTGGTACATCTCAATTCTAGGCTATTATAGTAGACCTTAAAGCTATTACAGTTGACCTTAAAGCATTATCTTTAATTTACTGGGACTTTTTCATTTTAAAAACCACAAGCTCATTGAAAAAGTAAAATTTAAGCTGCATAGTACACAAAATAAAAAGTAAAATATTCCTCCTTAGCCACTCCCCACCCCCCGCCTACCAAAAGAAACCATTTATCAGTTTGAAGTTTTGATTTCATAAGATTCCTCATCAGGAAATTAGGTTGAGTCAAAGGTCTTATATGGAAAATACCACTGAGAGGAACACAATGCATGATTGAGAAGAAGGGGGAATTACAACTACTTTTCCCAGCTATAAGACCTACAGCATTTCCACCTTTAGTGTAACCAAGTATATAACATTTTACTTTATGAAGATCACAATCTTGGATATCAATTTTTACTGCATTTGGAAAGAACTGCCAATCTTGAATGCACATACTGAATCAATGGTTTCAATCTTTTAGGTGAATATAAAAGACGCCTGGAAAGTCTTTAAAGAGAGACTCCCCTGGAAAGGATATTAAAGATCTAAACGAGTTAACTGAATTCCCTAAGCATCTTTTCAGCAACTGCCCCTCTGGCAAGCAAGCCACCGCTGGGAAAAGGCTATAGTACACTGTCTGAACAAAGACAAAAGAATCTTACATCTTTCCTTAGGAAAATCCTTGCTGTATATTGCAGAAGGCTCCTTCTACTTCTGCCTACTAGTGTAAATTCACAACTTGAAAACTCAAAGGATATTACTGAGCACTCCCTATGTATGAAGCAATGTGCTGGGTGCTTTCACAAGCCTCACTGTATGTCTCCAAGTACTTTAAGGCATAAGACTTTCTATTACTGACCCCAAATAAGAAGGCTTAAGTTTCATAAGTGACAGGTATAAAGGACCGACATTTGTTTCTATTCATCCCCACTCCATTCCACATTCTGATCCATATTATGCAACCTGCCACTTCAATGTAGATAGGATTGATCAACTGTCCCAACCTCTAGAAACTCAATTTATAAACAGATGAAAAATAAGTTATAAAAGACAAATTGCTCTAAAAATCAGAACTGGCTGACTCCATGAAAGGTCATGGACATGCTTTCTCTCCCAGCTATTTGTCCTCTAACCCAAACCCTGCTGGCTGTTTAGGATCTGGTTTAAGGCCCATCTCCCTCCAAGAAGCCCTCTCCCCCTGCTTCCATAGCTTCCCCAGCTGAGAAAGGCAATGATCCATAGGCAAGAGATTATCTCCTATGCCTAGGGCTCCTTTCATCCATTTCTTTAAAGCAATATATAAACCTGAATGTTCAAGTCCCCAAAATAAATCAAGCCAAGCCCATCTGCCCTCTGGCCCCACGGGTAAGGCAAAAACACTTTCCTATCATTTGTAGAAACCTATGTATTCACCATAAAGGCCACTGCTGCCCTGGGGGCTGACAGTCTAGGTTAAAAAAACAACTCAGAAATAAAATCAACCATTAGACAAAGTTGTTAAATTTCACATAGGGCAGGTTCTATGATATTTATATTGCACTTATATGAAGTACCACATGGGGCCTTGGCTGATTTTTGTTAATTCTGAATTATTCAGCACTGCATTGATAGATTGCTAATTAAAATATAACCCCTAAGGCACCAACCCTGCTAAGAATGGTGCTCTTGGCTTCATCACTCCCTCTAACAGCATCCGAGTCAAACCTCCTCATTTGCCTCCCTCCCGTCACTGCCAAAGCACAGCAAGGCCTTCAACCTCACAAGTCAACTTGTTCCACAGCTAAGGGAGTAAAGTGGAAAATCTGGCAACATGGTGATTTACTGAGAGTCCTTTGAGAGGCCTGCAGTTCCAGAAGACTCAGGAAAGATAGTTCTGACACCTGGCATTCTAGAAAACAGGCTGTCTCTTCCATGAATATGCCTGGATTCTCTTTGTCTCTCATGTCAAAGAGGAGTGGAACAGCTGCCCCTGTCAGGGGGCCCTTTTCCAAGGCTCCTGCTTGCTGCAGTCCCCAGGATAAGCTGGGGCTTCCCCACTCCCTGCTCCTCAGAGACATTGGTACCATCCAGGACAGATGTGCTCCAGACAGAGGGGAGGGTCTCCAGGACCCTCCCCACTAGACCCCCACCACTGTTCCAACCCTGTGTGAATCTCAGACACCACGACCCCTAACCAGGTCTTGGTCAATCACCCTCCTCACTTTCTTGTTTTGGTCTTAAGTGTCCAAAACACTCAGACTTTAATTTTTTAGTAATTTTTTAAAAGATGACATATATGGAAAAGTATAGAAATCCTAAAGAACAGCTCAATGAACTTTCATAAATTCACATATCTGTGTAAGCAGCATTCAGATCGGAAGTTACATTATCAGCATCCCAGAAGCCCCATGCCTGTGCCCACTTCTAGCCAGAAATGTGTTTTCCATCAGAAATGTATTATTTCGATCCTCCAAGCAACTATCACTTCTGAGTGATCTGTCCCCATAAAGTCAGAGAGAGAAGGGCGAAAAAGCTATATAGGGGGCTTGGCATAGTGGCTCACTCCTGTAATCACAGCACTTTGGGAGGCCAAGGTGGAGGACTGCTTGAGCCCAAGAATTGAGACCATCCTGGGCAGCATAGGGAGGCCCCATGCCTACAAAAAATAAAACTAAAAAAAAGCTAGATGTGGCAGCACATGCCTGTGGTCCCTGCTATTCAAGAGGCTGAGGCAGGAGGATCCCTTGAGCCCAAGAGGCTGCAGTGAGCGATAATGATGCCAGTATACTCCAGCCTGGGCAAAGAGCAAGACCTTGTCTCAAAAAAGAAAAGCTACATAGGAAATGCAGGGGAGGGTAATGAGTCAGCATTTAATCAAGTCCCTCCTGAGGACCAGGTAACATGACAGGTAGAGAAACCTGGCATACACCATCTTAAGCAAGTGATCAAAGTTACCACCACCAGTAACAGGACAAATTAGACATAACATGCCACCGCATGGGTTGCAATCATCATCACAGTATCCAGAGAAAAAGACATGGCCCAAGTGGAGAGCCTCTCTACAGTGACTGGCTGTAATCTACACAAACTGTCCAGGCCATGAAAGTCAAGGAAATACTGAGGAAACGTTCCAGATTGGAAGAGACTAGAGAGAGATGACAAGTGGGTGTGATGTATAACCCTGGATTGGTACCGTTATCATAAAGGGTATTACTGAGTCAATGGACAAAACTTTAAACCCAATTCAAGGTATATGAGTGTGCCTTGAATTACTCTTGCAATTTTCCTGAAGTCTGAAAAGATTTCAAAACACAGTATTTTAAAGAAATTTTTGCTCTTCACCTTTCCACTTGCTTTCCACCTAGAATACAGATGTGAGGATCAAGTCCCATGATGAGCAAGGTTAGCAGGACAATGAGATAGGAGCCGTGGACCTGCCACACGGGCCCCAGACTGCCCACCTCCAAAAATACTGTAGTATGGAATAAAATAAACTCTTTGATTGTCGATGTCATGGTAGTAGGGTTTTCTGTTACAGCCAAAGAAGTCATAACTGATACATTTAATAGGTAGAAGACAGAAGACTATGATTCCATTACTATTTCCCCACTATTGCTAATAGGAAAACCCACCAAAAAGTTAACAGAAAAGCTGTGACTTGCTGCATGGACAAGAGGGCAGAGAAGCTGTGAGAATGCATTTTGTCCAGCAGTGGGCAGTGAGGAAAGGAGGCTTGGCCGGAAGCATCAGTAGCAGGGCCTCCAGGATCTCTGTAGCACCGCAGCATCGCAATGAGTCAAAGCAGGTTTTCAAGTTTTCCATCAGAAATGTACTATTTCGATAATACATTTTGACTTTTGACTAGACCACCACAAGAACACCGCCTCTATGAGAAAGATCCTAGATGCTAGACTTAAGGTAACCTTTAGAATATTACCTACAAATAAACGGGGACTTTGATAAATAACTATTCATGTATAATTTGACTTTAGAAATCATTCTATATTTTATTTTCTAATCACATTTTTATTACCATGATACCTCATGTTGGGCCAATATGCTTTCCTCTTTAAAGTTTCATTTTACCACTATTTTGCTTTCTTCTCACTCCGAACAGTACTGTGGGGTGACTCCAGTTGTTTCCATTTAACACATAAGAAAAAGTTGAGCAAGATTAAGCCACTGGTCCAAGGTCTCACAGCAAGGAACTGGCATAAATGGAACAAGAATTCTGAACCATGACTCCCAATCCAGTGTTCTCCTAATCCACATAGTATATCGTTAACAACACTGCCAGTTCAACATGGCTTCACTTTTTGAGATTAGAAGATTATATTATGAATGACTAGAACAAGAGATCAAGTAAGAGTAAACAGGAAAAGAGACATTTTACCCAAACTTAGAAGAAAGAACGTACAGGAAATTCAGCACTCAATCTTTCTCTACTTGCTCACATTGGTTTCAGAAGTGAAGAGCTGCAAAATCCCGTTACCCCGTGGTGAACCCACACCTGCCTCCCTGAGGCTCTCTCTCCTTGCAGCTAGCATCCCCTCAGCTAGTATTTGCCAGGCCCTCAAAATCCTACAGAAATCCCAGAATCTTGGGATACTTGGCCGCCAGTCTCATGCAGCCCTGTTCCTCAAATCTGGAAGTCCTGAATGCCTGTTCCATAAGACAGTGCTGGGCACTTGGCACGATCTTCACCCTCACAGATAAGTTGAGGAGATAAGGCAAATATGCAAAAAGTAAAGTAATCATCCAAGAGATATTAAATAACACTGCAGGCCAACGACAGCAGCAGAGGCATGAGAGGAGATGCCAAGACCATGTAATGGATGGACACGATTTACAGTAATTGCCTCTGTACAGAGAATAGAGTTCCTTAGGCTGAAGAAGTCAGGAAGGGCTTATAGAGAAGCTGCAATTTGACCTTGGTCTCGAGAGAGACCATAAACTTAGAAATATAAAGGTACAGAACATTCCAGGCAGATACAGCATGGATATGGAAAACTCAAGGTACATTCAGACGATTATGAGTGGGCTGATTCTGCTGGGGAAACAGTGGATCATACAAGGCAATAATTAAATGATAGATGATCAGTTACTATGCTCTGGATATAAGGGAGGCTTCAACCTGGCTTGAACAGAAGGGCATTTCTATCTCATGTGACAAGAAGTCCAGAGTTCTGGTGGGTTCTGCAGTGTTGTTTCAGCCCAAGTCACATGGCTGCATAGAGGAGGGGTTTTGTCAAGATGTTGAAATGGAGTTGTGGATGATCCCAGACAGGCAACCATAAATGGTTATTGTTTAGTGAGTGTCAATCCCCACCCCATGTATTTCACCCTTAAAACCAGAGGAAAGAATACAGAGAGAAAGCCAGAAGAGGCTCCTCATATAACAGCCAAATCCAAAACTCAATTCAGAAAAATCTGCAGCAATGGATCTTCTTCCTTGTGCCTATTTACTAAAAGACATATATGAATTCTTAAGAGGATTAAACCAGAATGGCTGTTCAGAGTCTGTGGAATCAGCAAAGACCCTCATTCTAACCACCCCTGGAGGCCTCATGTTCATTAGGGCAGAACTCCATGAGTTTGAGACAAGCCTGCACAACAAGGCAAGACCCCATCTCTACAAAAACTTTAAAAATTAGCCAGGCATGGTGGCACACAACTGTAGTCCCAACTACTTGGGAGGCTGAAGGGGAAGGATCACTTGAGCCCAGAAGGTCGAGGCTGCCGTGAGCCATGATCACGCCATTGCACTCCAGCCTAGGTGATAGAGTGAGACCCTGACAAAAAAAGACAAAAAAAAAAAAAAAAAAAGGCCGAACTGTGCTAGCACATTAGTGAGTGCAAAGAGATTGGCCAGACTGTTTTTTCTCTTATACGATGGCCCAGATAAGAAAGTACACTGATATCCAGAACTAGAGAATCGGATTCCCAGTGTATTCCTGATACCACAAGGTCCTACCACTGTGAGTTTTGTTATACATGGAATTGGCCAAGCCCAGTATTCAAGCAAGACTCTCATGCAGTGGGTGGATGACTCTCCCTCAATGATACTGAAAGATCTGTAAAATGATTCAGACAAGTCTGCCAAATGCAGCATTACCCTATAAAGTGAAACTATGGTGATGTCACTCATTTATTTTAAATATGTTTACCAAGCACCTTCTATGTGCTACATGTATCCTAGGCACTGGAGACTCCGCAGTGAACAGGACAAGTGCTGCTCTCCTCTCAAGGACCTCAGGATCCAGGTGAGGAAGACAAGCAAACAAGAGAGCCAGCTATGAGAGGAGAAAAACAAAATAGGGCAATGATCTGAGTAGGTGGTGGAGAAGCCCTCCCAGAGGAGGTGACTTGGCAGAGGTCTGAATGACAGGAAGCCCCCCAGTGCAAAGACTGGGAAAGAACATCTATGAACTAGGAGTAGGTGCAAAGGCACTGAGGTGGCCAGACACCTGCACTGTTCAGTGAACAAAGAAGCCAGTGTGGGCCAGGCGCAGTGGCTCACACCTGTAATCTCAGCACTTTGGGAGGCTGAGGTGGGTGAATCACCTGAGGTCAGGAGTTCAAGACCAGCCTGGCCAACACGGCGAACCCCGTCGCTACTAAAAACACAAAAAAATTAGCTGGGCATGGTGGCACAAGCCTGTAATCCCAGCTACTTGGGAGGCTGATGTAGGAGAATCACTTGAACCTGGGAGGTGGAGGTTGCAGTGAGCCAAGATCACACCACTGCACTCCAGCCTGGGCAACAGAGCAAGACTCCAAAAACAAAAAACAGAAGAAAAAAAAAAAAAAGAGGAGGCCAGTGCGGATGGATGCAGCAGGTAAGGAAGACAGGGATGCTAATGGGGCAGGATAGCAGGGCCCAGATTACAGGAGGCCTCATGGGCCTGGTAAGGGGTTTGGATTTTATTCCAAAAGCCAAGGGAAGCATCTACGTGATTTCCAAAAGAGGAGTGACAGAGCCCAACTGACGTTACATTGATCTGGCTGCTGCACAGAGAACAGACTGGAAGGAGACAAGGGAAGATGAAGGGAGTCAGTTGGAAAACAGTTTCCATTATGCGGGCCAGAGATCGTGGTGGCTGGAGGTCAGAGCAGTGAGGGGGCAAGAAGAGCGAGGATTCAAGTAACGTTTGGAAGCTGAGCCAACAGGACTTGCTGATGGAGTGGGGAAATCACAGATGATGCCTGGATCTGGGTCTTAGGCTGCTGGATCATGCCTCTTACTGGGATGGTGAGAGCTGGGGGGAGAAACAGGAATAGCAACATACAAGCTTGTTTCTAAGCATCTTTTACTGTGAGGCAGCAACTTTAGAAAAGGCATACACTTTCAGACTGAACCATTTCACTTCCTGTAATGGGTCAGCATGATGGCAAATGTTGTGTGTCAAACTGACTGAGCCAAAGGATGTCCAGATACCTGGTAAAACATTCTTTCTGGGTGTGTCTGCGAGGGCGTTTCTGGAAGAGATTGGCATTGGAATCAGACTGAGTACAGAAGGTCTGCCCTCACCTATATGGGTAGGCCATCACCCAATCCATTAAGGGCCCAAATAGAACAAAACGACAGAAGGAGGGCAAATTCTCTCAAGTTGGGACATTGATCTTCTCCTGCCTGTGGACATGGGAGCCCTCAGACTCTGGTACTTACATCAGTGACCCCACTCCCAGTACCAAATCTGTATTAGTGTTCTGCAGACAAACAGAATAGGATAAAGATACATAAAAGGAGGTTTATTATGAAAACTGGCTCATGTGGAACTTAATTCCTTTGGAGACAAACAAGCTACTGAGCCTCCAGGAAAATACACACAGCGAGTATCACAGGGGATGGTGCACTCTCACTCCCATCAGCCCCCATCAGCCCCTAGCTCCTGAGAAGGTACAGCACCAACACCAGGATGTCATGTGCTAGAACCCTGACATCAGGGATGGAAGCCCTGCATTCCAGTCCTATTTTGCATCGTGAGTTTGAGTATGTTGCTGAACAGCTCAGGGTCTCCATTCCCTCTTTGTCCTCCCTACCTCAGAGGGCTCTTGTGACAAGAAAAGGACAACTAAATGGGAGAACATCATGGAAAACAAAGTATACACCAATATAAGACGACACTGCTGTTAAGAAGAGACTCCTGATGTTTTCTGAAGGGGAAAAGCAGAAGCCAGCCATCGTGAGTTCCTTCAAGGCCACCTCTCCTTTCCCACATGGCCAGAATTAGGGGGTAGCAGTGGTGTGGTAATATACAGGTACTGATGCACATGTGTGAAGTGGAAAATGCCTTATGTTTCTTTCATTTGATTGATCATACAAATGCCTTACATAGGTGCTAGTGATTTGCCCAGTGCAGACATGCTGCCACTGCAGAAGGTGTCTGGCCTCAGACATCAGGCCCTGTTCCTGGAAGAACATATCCCATGCCAAGTCTCTGGTCAAGTGACAAGCAGAGTGATGGCTGGAGGAGTCTGAGGGCAGCCAGCCAGGCCACTGGCACATCTTGGATCTGTCGTTAATGAGATGCTTGATCTAAAGCTAAATCATCAGCTTCCAGGACACTATGGGGAAGTGACATCTAAAGAAAGGCAAAACAGGTCCCACCCAGCCTCTCAGGGAATCTGATCCATGTCCCCTCAGTAGCCATTCTTCTATGGTTGACCCAAGCAACATTCTGGGCAAGGGGATTCATGCAGTATCAGCCTGCCAGGTGGCAGACGCCACACCATGCCTGCCTCCCTCTTTACTTTCACTCTCCTCCACCATCATGATCATCCTTCCTCTTTCTAATCTCCTTCATTTGTTCTCATCCCTTTTCTGTCTGCATCCAAGCTTGCAACCCACAAGCTGCTTTATCCTAAAAGACAACAGGTGGTCATCTTCCATTGCCTTCCTACCTCCCACCATTAAATAACCACAACATGGAACTAAAGCATGTTTTAAACTATTTTCTACTGAATCAGTAAAAGCTTGATGATTTCTGTTCTTAAGATCAAGTGAGTTGGAAACCTATTTCTTTAAGAAAAACAAAAACCATCAAATTTTTTTAGGTTTATTTTTATGGGTAAGTAGAATCTCCAGAAAATGACTTACTCCTTCCTCCTTTTACTGTCTATGTGAAGTTATTCTTTGTCACTGTAATTTTATATCCTCCACAATAAGCAGTCATTTCTAGACACCTTTCAGGTGGGCAAGAAGTTTTAAGGTCATAAAGGTCAAATTCTTACTCAAAGGTGAAATTCTTACTCAAAGGCACTCCCTTATGGCATCCTTGCTGGAAAGCACAGCCAGCTCAGATACCTGCAGAGATGAAGACCTCACTTCTGCACAGGCAGCCCATTCCACCACGGAGGGGTTGAGGGGTGTTCAACTGACCACGTGCCCCTGCACCAAGCTAAGTCCACCTTCCCACAACACATACCCATTGCTGGTCATACTGCTTTTTGGAAGAACTCAGAGAGGAAATACATGAATTCCACATGACAGCCCTGCAGTATTTTAGGATTATATCTCCTTTTCCCTAGACTATAAGTCCTGGATCCCCAAGCCATTCCTCACATGCTATGGTTTCCAGGCATTTTGCTGTCCTGGGCATCTACCTCTGAATGAGCTCCATTTACTAAGGTCCCCTTAAAATATGTCATTGAAATCAGAATATATTATCACGGAATCACATCTTATTGGGAGGGAGTTGGCTTAATGCTAAAGTCAATATTAAAGCAAAAATCATGCAGCACCCAAATTACCCTTGGAAATCCCTTGCACTGCCCATGACCGTGGTGAGATGTTCTAACTTCAAGAGGCTCTGAACTGCCTAAACAGACTCCCTCCTTCCTTCTCACTCTTGTCCCTGGGGTATCCTCAATGAGCTTGTCAATGGTTCACACAACTGAAGTTATTTTTTCTCATTTTGTTGGTTGGTTCCTTGGGGATTTTTGTTCACTTATGCCTAGCACATATAACTGCATTTCTGAAATTTAAATGCATCCATGAGCCAGATGTACCCAAGCTGTAAAAATAGTTGCCACTGTTACTTAGTCCTCTTCAAAGGAGGTGTTTTCCTAGAGTCTTCAAAAGTTCATCCTCCCTTGCATACCTGGTCCCTGATCAAAGTTTGGTCCCTGACCAAAACTTCTTGATGGTCAAAGAGCCACCACTCAGAGTTCACCCAAGGAACTTTGTAAAACTTCCATTCAAAAGTCTTTCTTTTTGCAAATTGTTGTCGTGATAATTAAAAGAAATCATAAAGAGGTTAATGTGATAGCAATCTTACTGTAGTACATAAAATCAACAGCACTATCCTTTTCTAAAGGCTGCAACTATTTAAGCAACTGCTTTTTTTGCTCCCATAAGACAAGTGTGCACTCATGAATGTCGTTTATCATCCCAAGTGAAAAAGTTTCCAGCACAAGTTTCTTGCCTGTGTATTTATGGTTACATCTGAAGTCGTCTTAAACTATGTTAGCCTGCCAGGACCATAGAAATTGTAGCTAACACCTATTCATTTAAGATGAAACATGTTGCACTGTAAGGGAGATAATGAGCATTGAGCTTTGAAAAAATTTCACATGACACCATTGGTTAAAAAATTCCAAAACAGTAAAACTAAAACACAATTATATAAATCAGGATAACCCTAATTTCATGGAAACACAGGCCATCTTATTTTTTTAAAAAAGTTGGTGCCAAGTGAATTTTATCCAAAAATAAGCTTCAGCAAAGGACTACATGACAAAAAAAGGTACAGCTCCATGCAGAGGCAGCCCTGAAGATTCAGGAAAATAGACGCCTCCATACTTTGAATATTACCGTGTTATTATACACTAAGGGGTGGGATGAGTTCTAGAGGAACTCATTTTAAGGTGGCAGCTACAATAATCAAATGCTTTTAACAGCTTGTAAACGTTTATGTTTTGGTTTTTATATACTCCCGTCTTTGCCTTCTTCCTCAAACAGCATTGTAATTTATGGGAATCATTCTCTTTGATGTCAATAATGTTCACTCAGCAAGCAAACAAAACTTCAGCCCTATCCCCCACCCATCCAATCAGGCTGTCTCCTGTAAGTCCTGCTCTCCTTAACTGCCTTGAGCCCCTCCCTGGAGTTGGTGGGAGGGAGCAGTTTTCCAGGTGAACAAAGTAGGGATTCCAAGAGTTCTTTTTAACTGCTCAGAGAGAACTGCTCTGAAGGCTGAAAGCCCCCAAATGATGTGGGTCTTCATCACCACCCACTGAACTGTGGTTCTAGACAGAGCATTCAGTCCTCCTAAACTGATCTGAGGCAGGGATAGGAAGGCATGTTGAGAGACTGACATGCAAGGCAGGCACACCCAGCCACAGGGAATAGCAAGAGGTGAAGCCTCCTGGAGCACTGTCTTCACAGCTGCCATGACAGCCAGGCAACCTCTAACTGCCTGCAGTAGAGGGGTGCCACAGCCCATCCTTCTTGTCATCTCCAAAGGCAAGAATATTGTTAAATACCTCCTTGATACACTACTCCTGAATAGCACTTATTGCACTGTAATCCTTAATAGCAAGGACTATGTCTTATTCACCTTTTACACCCGGCACCATGCTAAGCATCAAAAAGACTCTCGAATACTTGTGTCTGTTATGTAATACTACCCAACCCACCGAGGCTGAGTGGAAGACATCTCTGCTGTGGGGAGAGGGTAGTTGTGGCGCACACAATCAGCTGAAAGTGACCATTTTCACAAATCAGAGCGTTAAAAGCTTCAGACTCAGATCACCACCAATGCTCCCAGCCCAAACTGGCACAAAGTAGAATCAATGCCACTTCCCACTGATATAACCCCCTGCTAAATCAGAAAGTGTGTATGACTGAAAAATATCAACTTCCCTGTCTGGTGCCATGAACTAGCTCAGATATTAACCACTGTTTGCCACAGTGAATAACTACGTAAAAAAATTCTCATTTCTTAGTATCCACAGTACTCAGCAACAGAAAACACTTGAGATGCATAAACATAGCCCAGCAGGGAAGTGCAACAACTGACCCCCTAGCAAAACACAAAAAGCATAAGGCAAGATTTTAAATTCCAGTGTTAAGCCAAGAGTTTACTTATTGAGTGAGATTCAGCAGAAAACAGTTATAACCTAAATAATTTGGCTGGCACTCAGCTGCCTCACTTTAGATACAGGCTACCATTCCAGGGCTTCGGGTATTATTTACAGCTCCAGACACATCATCATTCTTTGGCCAGCATTTAGGCAGTTTCTGATTTCTGAGATGGTTCACATTGCAATGTGAGTGCAATTCAGATGGACATCTTCGCATCTGTCCCATTAACTAAGAACTCTCTCCACGGCTAGTGTTGTGTGACTCCAGTGGCCTGCTGAAAGGGGTTTGGTTTCACACTGCCAGTCAGATTTCAGGGATGTTAACACAGTGGGCCATCCCTAGAGCCTTTATTAAAGATGGATTACAGAAGGTTAAAGTGTGAGGCAACTAAGGGAGTGGAGGAAGCAACTGGAGGGGAAAAAAAAGGTGAGGACCTAGAACACTTTTAGAAGAGGAGATAAAATCCAAGGAAAAAATGTTTATTATTATACTAATAAATAAATGGCAAATCTTAGGGCCGATAGCCCAGCATTATTTTTAGGGGGTGACAGCAGGTTAAAGCTCTTCCAGACATGAAAACCACCAGCCACCACCAGAATGTAGGCAGAGATTGATGATAGTTTAGACTCAGGCAGAAGGATGCAAGTTCCATAAATAACCACAATCCAGCAAGAAGTGGAAACCAGGCCTAGAACAAGTCTCCCAAATCCAGTTCTACAAGAGACACAGCAACTGTATCTGATGCACCCAAAGTAGAAAAACCAGGTCTCTGGTACCAGCAACCTCCAGTTTTGATGGAAACATGGTTCCCAGTGACTAAGCCATCTTGGGAAGTTCCTTCATCTGAAGTGGGCAAAGCTACCTGAACCGGGTATAGGAAGCTGCCCAGGAGTCAGCAATTAAGAGGCTGCCTTCTACAAAAGCTTCAGAGCTTGGGTCATAATGACAGGGACAACGGTGCATAGTGGAGCCAATCTAAACTGGAACCAGAGACTCAGAAAGGGCATTAAAACCACACAGCAGAGGTGAGAAGACAAGGAAAAGAGCCAAGGACAAGAGTAACTGAGTCTCCTTGCCAGCACTAGCACAGAAGGCAATGCACCCCTGCTGCTGATGGGACAGCCTGCTCTCTAAAGCCATGGAAGGCTTCAGCATTATTCTGGTCCCCTAGTACTGTGCTGGCCTATTAGGCCACAGTTCTCAGACCAGCTAAGCCTGGTTCCCGAAAGAGCCTCATCTCCCTTAATGCCTAAAGCATCCTTAGAATGAAGCCTATGCCTTGCAGTGCCCTTGGACCCAAAATAGCCAAGAATACCAAGTGCTAGGAGGGACAAAGATAGACACAAGCATCCTGTTGGTGGTATCAATGCGGGATGCTCTTCTCAACACAAAGTGCAGGAAGGTCCATAACCATAAGCTATGGAACACTTAGGTCCGGACCTCTAGGGCTGAAGATCTGACAGGTGGTCCTCAAAACCAGGATCTTAAGATTCCTAAGGGCCTTCTCCACACCTGAAAAGGAAAAGCATGTTGTAACCTCGAGGTTCCCCATCAATGCTGGTGCTTTGTTAGGTGAGAGGACCAGATCCAAGGCTGCCCACTCAGAACCTGAGGAGCTGGAGCCAGTGATTCAGCAGACAGAGCTCCCTTCCCAGCCACTCTGGCGCCCACCACACTGCCCCGCACTGGGCTGTGGCTTCCCAAGGACATGACCTTCTCCTAGTGATGTGGCTATCAGCAACTAATACAGTTCACACATTACCTCATTTCATCAACAAGCCTGAGGGGTGTCCTAGACTCTTGCTCCTGGTTTACAGATAACTGAAGTCTAGAGGTTATGCCTAAGATTACACAGCTAGAAAGCTGAGGAACCAGGACTCAAAACCCAGGCCAATCCCCCATCTAAACACCTAACCTCTGTTTTCCAGTCCTCCTTCCCACCTACCCGCTCCCCGAGTTTAGTTTTTACATTGTGGTAAGATACACAAAATTTAGCATTGTCATCTTTTTAAATGTACAGTTCAGTGGCATCAAGTACATTCACATTGTTGTACAACCCTCGCAACCACCCGTCTCCAAAGCTTTGTTTTAATCTTGAAAGACTGAAATTCTGTGTCCATTAAAAACCCTGCTATCACTCTACTTTCTGTCTCTATGAATTTGACCATTCTAGATACCTCATATAAGTGGAAACATACACTTATCTTTGGGTAACTGTCTTATTTCACTTAGCAAAATGCCCTCAAGGTTCATCCTTGCTGTAGCAGATGTCAGAATTTCGTTGTTTTTTAAGGCTGAATATATCCCACTGTGTGGGCAGACCACATCTCATTCATCCATTCATCATTCCTTGGAATAGTCAAAAGGGTGCTCCCTGCTTTTGACAATCATGGATAATGCTGCTCCACCTCCTTATCTTTCATTCACTTACATTCAGCACCTGTCATCCTGCCTGACACAGCAGGGGGAAGAGAGTAAAAAGAGTATTCACCATCCACTTTCAAAAGTGCATTTTAGGAAATTAGGTGCAATGGGCTTTCCATGTGATTTTTAAATCAATAGATATTTATTAATGCTATTATACTTGTCATAAAATTGAAGTAATTATATGTTCATACACTAAGTTAATTGTACTAACATACATATAATTTAAGTGGAACTATAAATCAGCATAACTATAAAATTCTGTCTTTAAATTGTTAACCAAACAGACCAGAACTGCTACATCCAAATGAGTATTTTCCTGACAATTTGGAAAGCTCTACATTTATTGATCACTGGGAACATTCAAAGCCTAACTGTAACTCCAGATGATGATGGCTAGTAAGAGGCCTCACAAAATTGGCATCCATACCTGGAAGCAACACACAGTCCACAATAGCAAGATAGTCAGTGAGTCCTCACCTTACTCAACCAGCTTAGTTGTGTGAATAACTTAACTATTTCTAGAACAGAAAGCCTATCTTCCAGACAAAGATATTGTCACCATAGGGAGGACTCAAAAGCACACACCATCAGGTTTGAAGCCAGTTTCATAAGATGTATTGATGAGCTACAGCATCTGCAGCCCTCTGCCCAAGTGACCACCCCAAAGGAAACAGAACACCTTCAGACGGTGCAGGATGTAGCATGCTGGTCATAAAAATCCATCACATTTTATGGGCATTGCCATCATTTTGGTGCCTGCAGCTTGTTTCATAGTCACACACATACACACAGTAAAATGGCAATTAAAAGGGCAAGCAGCTTGAGAGCAAAGAAACATTAGTTTCTGGCTGAGGAGACATTCATTTTCCTTACTTTACAAATAAATATTATCCCTCATTACGGAATTCAGGCAAATTGAAAATGTGATTAAATCTGATGATGGGATAAGATAAGGCAATTTATCTCCCTTTAACATACTAATACCTCCTTAATGCTTATTCATACGACAAATGAACCGTTGGATTAGAAGAACTCAAGGTCAAAAGCCTACTTTTGCCAGGGTGGGCTCTTTCTCCCAGCCTCATGTGCTGGCTGTAACACATCCCAGTGGTGAGACAGTGCTCCAAACCTTTGTTGCCTGCGTGATGAATACGAAAGATGGTCTGAACCTTCAGGCAAAAACTATGAGTACTGTTATCTTTTCTAGGTGAGAGAAGAAAACAACTCGATCTAGTTTTTCTTCCTGGATTCACTGTTTTCTGTTCTGAAAGCCACTGGCTTTGCTACATCTAACAGGACAGGTGGATATCCATACATGCCCCCACCTCATCATGCAAATACCCATGGGTCTTCATAAGACTGGTTTTGGGGGTGTTTGTTTTCTTCCTTTGGCCAGCTTGGTGGAGAAAGATTGTTAATAAAACCTTTTGAGTTAATTGGGGGAAAAATAGGAGACTGTGCTCTTAACAAATGATAACCTTGAGAAGGTAAGGGCAAAAATATGTGCCCAAAATAACGTGTAAAATTAGGATATTCAAACACAAGGCAGTTAAATTAACTCTCACATCCATGAATGTTACTTTGCTGATATTCTACATTCACACCTTGTGCTAAGCCTTTGAGCACTGTCATAAAAAAGAAAAACATTTAATTATCTCCTGACAGGGGCTCCACATTCCATAGACTTTGGCAAGTGCCAGAGGAAACAGATGGGCTTTCTACTGGTTATGCCAAGCCAAAAGCCTTTCCAAAATCACAGAAGGTAATGTTACAGTCAAGGAAGGTGGCTCCTTGGTGAGGAGAGGACTTTCCTCAAAGAGCCATGCCTAGAACCAGGCTGTGGGGGGTTGGGGGGTTGTAGGTAAACTTTAAACCAATTCAATGATATTTGTTGAGTTCCTACAGCATGCAAAACCCCACCCTGGGAACTGTGAGGGATGTGAGGCTAAGATTCTACCTACAACTTCAATGACAGCAATTTTGCAAATATACACACTCAACCACCAATTGCGTACCCAAAACAAAGAGTAATGAAACAGTGAATCTAAAAACTACCTATGACCTCAAAGCTTTTGATTTGGCATTGCATCTTTTAATTTGGCATTATAACTCATCCTATTTTCAGCAGAACCACCTTTTTTGGATAATTGATGATGCACGGTAATAAAATGAATACCTGTGAACTCACTACCCAAATTAGACTGTTAATAGTACAGTTTCCCATGCTGCTCCCCTGCCACTCCCACCTCCCAGTAATTATTCTAGACTGTTTTCTTTTCCTTCATTCCCTGGTGTTTCCTCAATTTTATCATATATATATATATATATATATATATATATATCTCCTTCAATACTATTCATTTTGTTTCAGAAATTCTAAGAATGGTATTATTCTGTATGTATTCCTCTCTAAAGCACATTAAATGATGATACCTAAGCTGGGCCTTTGACTAAACAAGAAGATGAGGAAAGGCTTCCAGGAGTCTCAGGTCATGGCCCAGAAAGAAAGCAAAATGCCTATTAAAGTGTCAAGCATGGTAGGAAGGAGGCAGCTTTTCACTGGAGGATGTTAAGTGAGAGATGGAGCCAGGAAAAGTGGACCAAGGCCCTGAGAATGAAAGGATGGTTAGTTTTAGATCAGAAATACCCAATTTTAAGCTCCTTGAATTTCAGGTATGCTGTGGTTTAGATATGAATCATTTGTCCTCAAAGCTCATGTTGAAATTTGATCCCCAATGTGGCGGGGGTGGGAGGCGGGGCCTAGTGGGATGTGTTTGGGTTATAGGGGCGGATCCCTCATGAATGGTATGGTGCTGTTCTCATGGTAGTGAGTTCTCACTATAGTGAGACTGGATTCGTTCTCCTGGGAATGGATTCATTCCCACGACAGTGAGTTGTTATGACAGGATGTCCCTCAGATTTTGTCTTTTTGCACATGTCTGCTTCTGCTTTGACATTCTCCACCATGTTATGACATCAGGACAGCCTTGCCAGAAGCCAGGGCAATGCCCTTGAACTTCCCAGCCTACAGAACTGTGAGCTAAATAAACCTTTTTAAAATAAATTACCTAGTCTCGGGTATTCTGTTGCAGCAACACAAAATGGACTAAGACAGTGTACTTTGTTACACTTTGCCTTTTTGAAGATGTGGATCTCGTTTGGGACTACATGGCCTAAGGAAAACCAAAAGCAGGGGTTCTGCCTACATTTGGGACAGAATTTTAAGAAGCACCAGGATGCACGTGGGGCTGGGTGTGGTAGTGGTGGCAGTGGCAAAAGAACACAAGCAGGATCAGACCACCTGCCGTTCTTTCTGCACATGGACTCGATCCTTCTCTGATCTTGGTGGGTTTTCTGTTGCTGGGGCAGGGAGAGTTGCAGGGCAGTGCTAGGCAGAAAGGACCCTCTATATTAGGGCCCCTTATATCCAAATGATGTTCTGACTCACCATAAATGGGACAGATAACCTCATGGAAGGCAGTAGAACACAGTGGTCAGAAGCTGGGCCCTGAAGCCAGGCAGCTTTGGGAAAGTCACATAAGCCTGTGTTATTGTTAAATGAGCTAACATGTAGTGCTGAGAAGTGATTTGGCACAAAAGCACTCCATAACCAGTAGTTGTCCAACTAGAGGGTTCAAAATACATAAGCTCAGAACAAATGAAGGGGAAAATACATGCCAAGGTGCTTTATTCTTTAAATGTATATATTGTATCCTGAATATTCTGGTTTCCATGTTTTCCTATCTCAAAATATAGAGTGGACTGGGTGCTGTGACTCATGCCTATAATCCCAGCACTTTGGGAGGCTGAGGTGGGAGGATCACTTGAGGCCAGGAGTTCAAGACCAGCATGAGCAACATGGTGAGACCCTATCTCTACACACACACACACACACACAGAAAAAAATATATATATATATATTATTTTTAAGTTAGCTGGGCATGGTGTCGCATGCCTGTTCCCAGCTACTTGGGAGGCTGAGGTGGGAGGATTGCTTGAGCCTAGGAGATTGAGGCTGTAGTGAGCCATGATTGCACCACCACACACACTCCAGCCTGGGTGACAGAATGAGACCCTGTCTCAAAAAAATAAAAAATATAGAGTAGTCATTTAAATGAGCAAAAACAGTTATAAATAATGCCAGTTAATACAAACAAGAAATATAAGGAAAACAACACATTGTTCCCAGTGATCAATAATGTAGAGCCTACCAAGCATGTGAACAGAGGCTCAACCCTCCAATGAAAGTCAACTTTAAAACATGTGTAAAACATTTAGTATGAATAAGAATTTAAAAAAAAAAAAAGAGAGAGAGAGAGAAAGAACAATGACCCGAACTTAGAGTGGCGAAGAAACAGACTGGTTCTCTTGTGGTGGCTATTGGCCATATCAATGAAGACTATAAATGTGCATGCCAGCAATTCCAGCTTTAGGAATTTATTCTGAGAAAATAAATGAGGTTACAAGAACAATCTTTCACAGTATCAAAAGATTAACAATTTATTAGTATGTTCAAAAAAGCTAGAAGATAGGATCTTGAATGTTTCTAATGCAAAGAAATGATAAATGTTTGAGGTGGTGGATAACCTAATTGCCCGATTTAATCATTATACATTGTATACGTGTATTAAAAAAATCACTTGAACCCCATAAATTTGTGCAATTATTACTGTCAACAAAAAACAAAAGGAAAATAATTGGAACCAACCTAAATGCTCATCAGCATGGGAATGGTTAAACACATTACAGTATATGGCATCAGATCTTGGCAATTTAAAAAATGTATATTTTTAAGAAAAAATTACAGTACATCCATATGCTGCCTTGTGCAGCCATTAAAAATGGCAAAATTGCCTTTGTAGGCTACAGGAAAAGATAGCCATAGATTAAGATTTAGAGTAATAGACATGGCATGATCCCATTTGTTTTGAGTACATATTGTGCATAAGTCTAAAGCAGCACTGCCCAAGAGAAACAGAATGCAAACTACAACTGTGAGCCACCTGTGGTACTTTAAATTTTCTAATAACCACATTTAAAAGGTGAATTGAACAGAATATTTTAGCCAATATATAAATAACAATCACTTCAACACATAACCAATATAAGAAGTATGAAGGATATTTCGCATACATTTTTCTAAGTCTTGGAAACCCAGTGTGTACAGTACTGCACGCTTCCAGCTCATCCCAAGCTGGGCCAGCCTCATCGCAAGTGCTCAGCAGCCACATGCAGTTACCCTGTTGGACAACGGAGGTCCAGAGAACATGCCTAAGTGGTCAAGAGCAGCTGTTTCTGGGAATGAGACTACAGAGCTTTTGTCTTTCCTGCATTGTATGGATTGTTTCAATAATCATTTGTATTCACAGAGGGAAAACAGAAGCATTGTGAAAAATGCTTTTTAATTTTCCTTTAAAGCTATAATAAGAGACCAGAAAGCACAGGTTAAACTTAAAACTTCTTTCAGACTGCTCTTGCTCCTTCCCCAGGGGTGGTGGGGAGTACCATATCTTGTCTACCGCTCTCATAGTTCATGTTTGTAGCAATCCTACTTCCTCTTTCACCAAGTCTCCTTGTGATCAAGACCCCTTCAGGACAGCAGGGAAGGGTTAGGGGAAAAAACATGCTAGCCACATAATGCTGACTGCCACCCAGCATGGTGACTGGAGGGAGAAGCAAACTAATGAACAGTTGCCAACACTATGTTAGACAAGCACTTCACATGGATTAGGATTATAAGCCTCCAGTAACCTTCCCATGGTGCAGGTACCACCCCAATTCTTCAGATAAAGAAATCAAGGCTTAGAAAGTATCTGTTCCAATGTGTCGGAGCTGAGAGCGCCACAATATCCAGGGTGTCCACCTCAAGATCATAGTCACAAAGGCCTTGGAAATGCCCATACCAAGCTCCTGATCTTACCCTTATTAACACCATGCTATCAGACAACTGCATTTCTTCATTAAAGAAAAGCAAATCCCAGGCATCATTTGCAAGAACCCCAGATCCTGACATTTCTCCTCTAAGCTCTTTCGTAAATCTCCAAATGTAAATAAATGCTTTCACTTAGACAAACCATTTTCATCCCAAACCCAACATGTCAAAAATCAAGAATTATCCCTGCTCCAACCTGACTTCTGTCCACACTCAAGGTGGATATTTCAAGTTCATAGTTGACTCTTCTACTTCCCTTGCCCTTAATAAAACATTTATTGAGTTCTAGTCTCTGTAATTTCTACATAACTACAAAAAGTAGTAATGAGTACACCTAGCAACCAGATCTTCATTTCTAAATTCCATTCTTCAATAAAAGGAAACTGACAGGCATCAGCTTAACCAAGGGATCAAAGTGATCCGTCAGTAACAGGACACATTGATATCACTGTCTCCTGAGGTGATGCAGTGAGAAAGGCACAGCATTTATGATGTGTTCTTGCCCAAAAGTCACAACCTCCATGTAAGCATAAGACAGTCTGACAAACCCAAAATCATTCTACAAAATTATTGAGAAATGCTTTTTTTGGGGGGGTGGGCGGTGGGCAGACAGGGTCTCACTCTGTCACCCAGCCTGGAGTGCAGTGGCACAATCACAGCTCACTGCTACCTCAACTCCCAGGCTCAAGCAATCCTCCCACCTCGGCCTCCAGAGTAGCTAGGACCACAGGTGCATGCCATCACACCCAGCTAATTTTTTCTATTTTTTGTAGAGATGAGGTCTCGCTATGTTGTCCAGGCTAGTCTCGAACTCCTGGGTTTAAGGGATCCTCCCATCTTGGCCTCCCAAAGTGCTAGGATTACAGGTGTGAGTGACTGTGCCTGGCTTGACCAATGTTCTTCAAGTGTCAAGGTCATGAAAGACAAAAAACTGAGCAACTGTCACTAGAGGGGGGCAGGGAGCTACAACCCTAAAGGCAATGTGGAACCCTAAACAGGATCCTGGCCCAGAAAAAGAACATTAGTGAAAAAGGTGGTAAAATTCCGGTGAGCTTTATAGACCAGTTAGTAGTATTACAGAAATGTTAACCTCCTGGTTTCAATAATTGCACTATGGTTATATGACATGTTAACACTGGAGCAATCTGGAAAAATATAGAAACTGCACTATTTTTGCAATGTTTCTGTAAGTGTATATTTCAAAATAGTTAAAAATAGTGCTATAATTATCCCCATATACATCTAGCTCATACCTGTCCCTATGCTTAAACTCACTCTCCCCTGTCTCCTCCTGAGAGAACATCCTTCTTTACAGCCTCCTCATGCATTTCAAATCCTATTCATTCTTTAGGCCCCAGTCATGTCCCACTACACCTTAAAGGAAGCCTTTCCCGCAATACTGTAGCCCACCAGACCAACACTTCTACAAAATGCCTGTAACTTGTAGAGGAGTATGTGCACTCCTCTAATGACACACAGATAATCCTGTATTGTTAGTGTACTTTGTGTATTTAGCTTTTATCACCAAACACACTGAAGGCTCCTAAAAACATCTGGTATGGCCTCTGTTCTCCAGAATCTCAGCCTACTTAGATAAAGCATCACATAAAAACTATCAACAAGGCTGAGGTGGGTAGATCATGAGGTCAAGAGATTGAGACCATCCTGGCCAACATGGTAAAACCCCGTCTCTACTAAAAATACAAAAAGTAGCCGGGAGTGGTGGCACACACCTGTAGTCCCAGATACTCAGGAGGCTGAGGCCGCAGAATCACTCGAACCCAGGAGGCAGAGGTTGCAGTGAGCTGAGATCGTTCCACTGCACTCTAGACTGGTGACACAGTGAGACTCTGTCATAAAAAAAAAAAAAAAAAAAAAAAAAAAAAAAACACACACACCTATCAACAAAGGAGGGCAGGGCAAGAGCCTGCTCAATGATTACAGGTTACAGGCCATTGGAATATGCCACATCCACAAGTCACAAGTACAAACTTCAAAATTCTGATGATCGCCAACATGGTGAAGCAGGATCCACTGGGCTTATAGGCCCATCTGAAAACGGGGAGCAGAGGATCAACGGAATTGGAACTAGGGATGAGAGAAGAAAAAAACCACATGCAAGACAGAGAATGAGCCTCAGAAGGAAAGTGACAGCATGACACACAACCTCCATGCTTCTTTTCAGCCTTTCCTGGGACCATAGAGGGGCCAAAGCCCTTGAGATTCTCAACATCCACTAAGCTAAGCCACCATGAGTTATGGTTAACTTGGGCTCCTAGAATCTGATCCTGAGACAAGGATTCCTGCTCAAGAGACTTGTAAGGCAGTGTTTTCCGGAAAAGACTGGTAGGGGAGTAGAGAAGGTGGACAAGAGAGGGAAGGAAGTCAAGCTAACATGTGATACTAAGGAAAGTCCCAAGCATGGTAACTTTAGTTCAACTGTACAAAGAAACTGAAAACAGTATGGGTCATACTTTAGAGCTGTTCCATTCTCAAGGTGACAAGATAGGAAACTAATGTCATTACAGTGCCATTGGTTAAGGACTGTTCCCTTTTGCAGAGTGTCAATTCCCAGGCTCCCTATGCACACAGGCAAAACAGCTTCAGGAGCTTTGACAAAGAGATGGGTGCTGGCTATTGGGAGTGAGCTAACACCAAGGCAGTATGCAGGGAAGGGAGTAAGGGGGAAACAATAGGAGCACTAACAGCATCTGCTGACACTTTTCAAGTCCTCATGTCTTTAACACTGTCACCACTTTTTGGAAAAAAGAACATCACTCAGAGCCACCAGCAAAAGAAGGAATCATCAGCCCCTCCAGCAGGGGTGACTGGGTACAGAGGAAACAGGTGGCTCTTGCTGCCTTCAGACTGACACTTGGGAGAAACTTACATTACCTGAGGTATAGGTAAGGGACTGTTAAAGGACACCTGCCCAAAAGCACAGAAGATCTATTTTTCAAATGATTGGTCCCAAATCGCGCCCTTAGTAAAGGCTCCTGGGTGCAAAGCTGCCATACATATGGTGTGTCTGCCAGTAAAGTAACCTCCCAGCAGCACTCAAAAACCCACTGCTCAGACACTACCTATCAATTAGAAGCCAAGCAGGAAAAAAGGTTATTTGAAGGCACTGGTTTCAAGGCACCAGTTTCAATTTGATGATTTCTCATTCACTCTGCTGGCTAGAATCAAAGTAGCATATTGAAAATCCAGGTATTTGAAATAGCAGTATTTAAATTTTTTGTTCCAAGTAACTCTTCTATAGATAAGAGTTGTATTATTCAGCCTGAGAAGGAGAGGTTACATTTTATGCTTTAAAATCAGACTACTATCTGCAATCATCATGATGAAATGGTATTCACCATGCTTGCACATGTGTGGGCTTCTTTCTGGATCTATGCAAAGCAAAGCCCACATTGTCTTTTCCAATGGGTTGGAAGCCAAGCACTCACACTGACCACATGCATGCCACTGTGACAACAGAGACCATCATCAGCTCCACCTTTGGAGCTGATGTGAGAGTGAATGAGACTGACTCACTTTGACATCACCCTGAAAGTGTCTGGCACTGACTGGTGCTCTTTCTCCATCCAGAAAAACCTCACTACAAAGAAAACAATTTCTCAAAGGTGAGGTGTTGGGTCTTCTGAGAACAGGAGTGTCTCTGTTCAAAGAGAAGTGCCCTTTGGCCCCCGACCTACCAAAAAAAAATCACATAACATATAAACTGCCACTTGAAGGGAACAGATCAAGAAGAGCAAGAACACATTTAATTGGATGGAGGGAAAAAGAAACTATTTTCTTAGATAACTAGAAATACACTAATTTCTTACTGAACAGTATTTAATACAAGCTAATATATATTTAAATGTTTCATATTCCAATAATAACATCTTCTAACTATCACAAAAGCAACAGGTATAATCAAAGGGCTTTAAATTTTCCATTCCCAAAAATGTATAAATGCTGTTAGCATAATGGGTAATTATTTCCATCATACATAATACATTGATGTGTGTGTCTGGCTCCAGTGTTCATCACATTAGGAAAGCCCACTAGCAAGTTAAAAATAAAAGGGAACATTGGCTATTTTGATAATACACTAAAATGAATAATCTCTAAGAAACAAAGTGAATCTGAGTAGCAGGCACGACTTCCCTGTGTAACTTATGATTCACATGCATACTGAGAAGCCAGCTTGGCAAGTGGGGAGACCATGGTTAGGCAACTACACAACTGCTTCTCATAGTAAAGCACAAGTGTGTTAATTGCCAGGAAGAATAACAACTGCTCAAAACATAAATCTAGAAGATACTGTCTTGGGTCCCAGAAAATCTCCTTAATTTCATAATCAAGACCCTAAATGATTAAGAACTGGAAACCCATTAACAGAGCAAGGTGCAGCCCAGCAGCCCTTAGGGAAGAACTCTAATATTTGTTTGGGATTAATTATGCCAACCCCTCACACCAATGAAGCTACTTTTTAAGTGTCTTATATCCAAGACCTTTCTCTGGTGACACCAGTTTTGTACATCTCCATAACCTGAGAAAAAGTACACTGAAACCCAAGTTCAGACTCCCACTACTTCATCATTCCTAAGAATTAACATGCAATGTATTCATTTCTAACTAAAAATCAAATTGAGTGTTTTCTCCTACAAGTATTGTCTTTAAAAGCAATCCGATATTAATTCTTGTTCTTCAAAACTAGGGCTCCGAAGATTAAGGGTTTATTCAATTGTCCATTAGCCTCATATGAGCACTATTTCAAGGTCATGGAAAATGCATATCATGGAAAAAAATTCACATGGATTTCAGAGTTTTCTGCACCAAAACAAACCCATAGTTTTATACTTGTTATAACAAGTATGAATGGGATCTAGAACAGGGTCTAGTTTGAGGCACTAAGAAAGTTAAGTCATCAGTTTGAAAAGAAGCCCCTATCAGGGCAACATGAATTCTACTAAAATTGAAGCAAGACCAAACATCAAATTTATGACGAAGTGTGGAGAGAAGAATTGTGAAATCATGACTTTATGAAAAGTTTATGGGGACAATCAGTTTTTAAGTGGATAATTCATTTGAAGAAGGGACGAAGCGATGTCAAAGATGAAGCCTGTACCAGCAGACCATCCACACCCATTTGAGAGAAAAAAAAAAAAAATGTAGCTTGTTTGTGCCCTAATTGAAGAGGGCTGACAATGGTAGAAACAATAGCCAACACCACAGACATCTCAATTGGTTCAGCTTACATGATTCTGACCGAAAACAAAGTTGAGCAAAGTTCGCACTTGATGGATACCAAAACTGCTGCACCCAGATCAACTGCAGACAACAGCAGAGCTTTCGATGGAAATTCTAAACAAGTGAGATCAAGACCCTGAAGCATTTCTTTGAATTGTAACGGGATGAAATGTGGCTCTCCCAGTACAATCCTGAAGACAAAGCCCAATCAAAGCAAAGACTGCCAAGAGGTGGAAGAGGTCCAGTCACAGCAAAGATGGACTGGTTCAGAGCAGAGATCACAGCAACATTTTGGGGGAATGCTCAAGCCATTTTGCTTGTTGTCTTTCTAGAAGGCCAAATGATGAAGACATCTGCTTATTATGAGTGTCTTTAGGAAGCCAAAGCTTTAGCAGAAAAACACCCAGGAAACTTCACCAGAAAGTCCTTTTCTGCCACAACAATGCTCCTTCTCATTCCTCTCAAAGAAGAGCAATTTTGCAAGAGTTTCTGTGGAAAACTATTAGGCGTCCACCTCACAGTCCTGATTTGGCTCCTTCTGACTTTGTGTCCTAATCTTGAACTAAATGACCTGCATCTTTTCCAGTTAATAATGTAAAAGAGACTGCATTGACATGGTTAAATTCCCAGGACCCTCAGTTCTTTAGGGACGAACTAAGTGGCTGGTATAACTTAAAAAAGTGTCTTGAACTTGATGGAAACTGTGTTGAGAAATAAAGTTTATATTTTTAATCTTTTAACTCCATTTTTCCCCCACAAACTTTCCCCCTCATATAATACAGCAATTCAATATTGCCTGACAAAGGACTTTGACACATTGTAGGTATATTCAGTTGAGTCACTCCTTTTACTTAGGAGCACAAGTTGTATCTCCATGCACTTTAATGTAACAAAGCTTCGGCTCTTTGAGCACTCCAGTTCAGATTTTTCCCCTGCCTCACTGGCTTCCAGCCTCCAGTCCCAGCTCCTGAAAACCTAACCGGCTTCAGTGAAAGAACTGAAAGCTGAGCTTTTAGGGATCCTCCCAATACCTCCACAGCTAAGAGGGGTGGGGTGCCGTTCCAGGGCCAGGACTGTCACAGAGTTCACGCCCTGGCTCCCACCTCCTCCCCTCCTCCCCCAGAGGCCGTCGCCCATCCCTGATCGCTGCACAGGTGGCCCCTGGTGGGCTCGGAAGCTGTATTTGAGGCTGCTGCGGCCCCACCCCCAGCCAGGTGACAGCCTCCGCGGCCACCTTCCTGAGCATGAACTCATCCCGGCCCTGCTCCCCTCCAGGAGGAATGGGAGAGTTGAATAATTCCTCAAACTTAGAAGGGTGGCCAGCCCACGGAGCCGAAGGGCTCCCACATGGGCTAGACAGCCGCGTGTGATCGCCAGGTAAGGACGCGGAAGTGACTGTTCCTACCCAGCCCAGACCTGTTGGCCCGGGCGGGTGTCCCGGGAATCGCATACCCACGCAACGCGCGTGGACACCACACGCACACACAACTCTGCATGGAGGCGTGTGCATAGGCACTGTTAAACGTGTTTTGGCCACCCAAGAAGACGAACAGGAAAACCAGGCATTGGACTATCCAAAACTTGTTTTCTTAAAGGTGCATAGGGCACATGTGAAGAAAAGGCCTTTGCCCCTCTCACTACTGACTCCAGGTTGAAACTCGAGGGGTCCCGGGCGGCTGCAGCGCTGCCGCGAGCTCCCCTGGAAGCGGTGGCTTGTCCCTAACTTTAACCACAGCAACTGCTGCGGAACGCGGGCGTCTCCGCCCGGGCTGCACCTGTTCCCGATTCGGAGCACCCAGCCTCACACATCCCTTCTGACCTTGAAGGCATCCTGAAACTCACACCCTGCTCCCGGTTCGACTTTACTCCAACCCCCTCCCCGCAGTCACTGAAGCCCTCTTTGTACCAAAGAGGCCGCGTCAAAACATCCATCCCCAGCAAATTCACAATGCTCTTCCCTGGGGTCTCCGGAGATAACGGCGCACCCCTCTACCCATTGCTTACCCTCACTCCATCCAGCCGCCGCGCCCTCACGCCAGGTTGTCTCCTCCCTCTCCACCAAGTCCAGAACCCCCACCTCTCCCAAGTCCAGGGTTCCCTGTTGTGGGTATGCGGGAGGAAAGGACGCCTCGGAGGCGCGCCCTCGAGAGCCGGCGCCGCAGAGCCCCTGGGGTGGGGTCCACGGCGGGGACAGGGGACAGCAGCGGGAGCACCGCGGGGGCCCGTCCCGCGCACGGCGCTCAGAGCTGGCAGGGTCGCCCTGCCGTTCGGGGAACTCGGTTGGAGCCGAGCCCAGGCAACGAAAGTGAGGGGCGCGGCGGGGAGGGGGCGACAGCCCTGGCTTGGTGCTGAGCCGTGGCGCTGCGGAACCTCTAGGAGCCGGGTGGCCGGTCAGTGCGGGCGTTCCCGGAACCGCCAAACTTTCTCCGCCAACCGAAGTTAGGGACTCCGAGGACAGTGACGAGGAGGACACCGCGGAGGGGGGTCTCCCGTCACCTCCCGCCTCCAGTAGCCGAGGGAGAAGGCGACCCTGAGTACTAGGTGGCCCCGAGCGCGCCACCCCGGCCCCGGGGCGCCTCCCTCGCGGCCGCGCTCACCTGGCTGTAGAGCTCGCCCACCGACATGGCCCGGGCCGGGCGGGGCTCGGGCCCCGGCTCCTGGCTGCCCCGCGGCTCTCAGTCCGCGGCTGGCCCGCCTGGCGCCATGTTCCCGGGCTGGCCTGGAGTTTCTCGATCTTCTCGCTCTTCTCCGACCTGCCCCGCCGGCTTCCCGCAGGCGCCGCGGCCGGCTCGCTCCCGGCGGCGCGACCTTTACTCCCGCCGCGGCGGCGCAGCTACGGCCGGACAGGAGTTGCGAGCGCCGGGGGAGGAGGCCGCGCCGCACCACTCCCCTCCCAGGTGTGGGGAGGAGGCGAGGGCCGGCGAGGAGGGAGGACCCGCTCGCGTCAGAGCGGACGGCCCGTGCGCCGCCGCGCCTCTGAGCCCTGCCGGTGCCCGGCCCGACGCGCCCTCCCGCGCCCCCGCTGCCACCTGGGCCTCCGGGCCGGGGGCGGGGCGCTCAGAGAGGAGCTCCGGGACCGGCGCGGGCCGCCCCCTGCTGGACGCCGCGCGCGCGCAGGCACAGGTGCGCCCCGGCGCCCGCACCTGCCCTGCCGCGCTCCGCTTCCACCCGCACCGGGCCCCGCGGAGTCCGGCATGAACGCGGTGCAGACAAGAAAAGGGAAGAGGAACTAACCAGAGAGGGGGGAAAAAAGAGAAGCGTCTATGGCTGGAAGGCCCCAGACATTGCCCTCGATTTTACCTGGCTGTATTCAGCGCTTTCATGATTAAAATTCAGTTACTCGTAGATCGTTATTAAGGCGACCTGGATATACATACACCAGGGATCTTCTCCTTCAAACTGAACTCTCTGCGCGGAAATCCTTGTCAGTAAAGTGGGAGTCGTAACTCCTTCTGTACAAATATTGTCCACTTTCGCCCACAGCCTCCAAGGAGACTCCAGGCCACTCATCTCAGAGGGCTTCTGCTTTTCCGGGAAGTCTCACGTTCTCCCAACCCCCGTCTCGTCTACATGCAGACTCCGGGTCCTTTTGCCACTCACTACCTCGTTTATTTGTGTTCCCTCTCTGACCATGGCACTTGGCTGCCTGCAGCAACTTCAGCTCCTCTCCTACTTCCAGTGAAAAGTAGAAATTTCAACCAAGAAAAAAAAAAAAAAACTGCCAGAAGTCTGTGGAGGGAGACGAGGGGCTGTCAGAGGAGACACTCCCTTCTGAAGCTGACATCTGTCCCTGACCCAGGGGTGGCCCCTGAAAAGTGGTTCTCAACCGGAAGATATATCTGTACCAGCCGGGGCAGTTGTTCAAGAGCCCCAGAAGGTGATTCTCAGAGGCATCCCACCTGGAACTCAAGATCCCGTTGTAATTCACCTGTGCAGGCCTTCCCATGGGCACCTCCACAATGAGAGTCACATGGGGAGCTTTAAGCGTTCCAAGGAAGAGGCCCCAACCCAAGGAATTCTGATATAATGAAGGATGGGACCTGGGTATCCCAATTTTTAAAGCTCCTCTGAAAGTCTAAAGGATGGTACTTCCAGGGTGACAAATGCATTGACCAAAGCTTGGGCGGCTCTCATTGGACCTAAAAATGGAACTCTTCACATCAGTGGCAAGAGCAGAAAGGGATTTTTTTCTCTTCCTCAAAAGTTTTTCTGCATATTTCCCTTCCCCGGATTCCTGTAGCTCTTAAAGTGTGTCCCCACCCCCCACGCCCACCATCAGCATCACCTGGTAACTGTTAGAAATACAAGTTATTGGGCTCCACTGCAGACCTACTGAACCATAAACTCTGGTGTGGGGCCAGTACTCATTGTTCTTTCTGCCTCCAGGTGATTCTCCCCTTTTTGAATAAGAAAGTCATCAGTCCTGCCTAGATCCTGGCCTCTTCCTCCACCACCATTAGTGGTCCCATCTCTCTACCAGCAACTCTTCCTCTCTCCACTGGCCCCTGGCTTTTTGTGTTTTCCTCTCCTGCTAAACTTCTTAAAGCAGTAGCTTCACTTATTTAGCTATCTCCACTTACGCCCAGTACCTCCTTAATTCTCTGATTCTCAACACTTTATGCACATCAGAATCACTTTTGAAACAAGTGGATGTCTGGTTCCCACTCCCAGAAATTCTGATTTAACTTGTCTGGGGGGTGTTGCCCTGGGTGAAAGGATTCTGAAGAGCTCCCAGATGGTTCTAATGGCAGCCAAGTTTAAGAGCTGCTGTTCTGGCCGGGTGTGGTGGCTCATGCCTATAATCCCAGCACTTCGGGAGGCCAATGTGGGCCGATCACTTGAAGTCAGGAGTTCAAGACCAGCCTGGCTAACATGGTGAAACCCCGTCTCTACTAAAAGTACAAAAATTAGCTGGGCGTGGTGGCGCATGCCTGTAATCCTAGCTACTTGGAAGGCTGAGGCAGGAGAATCGCTTGAACCTGGGAGGTGGAGGTTGCAGTGAGCCGAGACCACACCACTGCACTCCAGCCTGGGTGACAGAACAAGACTCCATCTTTAAAAAATAATAAATAAATAAATAAATAAATAAATAAATGTTGCTGTTCTAATTTCTTCTTATTTGGCTTCCACTCAGACCTATCCTATTGAAATTGCCTCATCACTGTGAAGCATGGGGTGGGAATTGATTCAACCCATTACGTTAAACCATCTCTTCCCTGAGTACTATTTTTCTCTTGTTTTCTCAGCCTCTCTAACCAAACCTTCTCAACATTATTTTCTAGGCCTGCGTCCTCTTCCTGGTTTCTGAATAAAACTATGCTCCATTTCAGAGATCTCATCTTTCTTCTCAGCCACGCCCCCATTTTGTCTCTTGCTCACAATGCTAATTCTCAAATCTAATTCTAACCTTACTCAAGATCCACCTTTCCACCTGCAGATAGGCAATGGTAACAATGCCACTTGGACCTCGGACCAACCTGACATTCATTTGTTTCCATCCTTTCTCCCCACCCGTAACTGGTTCCAACTGTCTGGCTTCCATCACACCTGGCACAAATGAAAAGCTCAATTCATGTTAACTGAACTGAATCGCATTCCTGAGTCCTACACTTGGCCAGAGCTTTGTGAATTTCTAATTCCACAATCAGATATGGTGTTTCCCTCCTTTGAACAATAAAGACATTTTAAAACTTACTTGATCCAGGAAACATACCAAGCGCTTTACTTCTGTGATCCTGTTGAAGCCTCAGAGCAACCTTATAAAGGAGGTTCAGAATATTAAGGCTGTTTCACAGATGGGCAAAGTGAGGCTTAGGGAAGAAGGGTGTGAAAAACACTCTAGGTCAGACAGCTACTGTTCAATTAAAGTCTCACTCGAGCGTCTAACCCTTGCTTTTTATGTCAATGGATGTTGAACTTCAGTGTGTACCAGGATTAAGGGGCTATCAGGGGATGTTAATTCAGTTGGTCAGAGACATGATCAATGAGTCTGAATTTTTTTTTTTTTTTTTTTTTGAGATGGAGTTTTGCTCTTGCTGCTCAGGCTGGAGTGCAGTGGTGCCATCTCAGCTCACCGCAACCTCCGCCTCCCGGGTTCAAGCGATTCTCCTGCCTCAGCCTCCCGAGTAACTGGGATTATAGGCATGCGCCACCATGCCTGGCTGATTTTGTATTTTTAGTAGAGACGGGGTTTAGCAGAGATGGATCAACCTCAGGTGATCTGCCCACCTTGGCCCCCAAAGTGCTGGGATGACAGACGTGAGCCACCATGCCCGGCCTATGAGTCTGCAAATTTAATACATATCCCAGGTGGTGTAGGGCCCACACTTTGAGAAACATTGCTCTGTGCTCCACGGCTTCTCAAAGTAAAAAGAAGATACCTGTTGGAAATGCCTTAGTCTCCTTCCTGACAGGTGAGGATTTCCCTCACACAAATAATAAAAAGTGAACTTCCAAGGCATTCATTTGCACCCTGTATGATATGTGAACTAATATCCCTTTCTCCTCCTCACCACTAGGTTCTAAGAGTCTTGAGGGCAGGGACCACACCTGATCCATATTTGTGTCCTCTGCACTTCCTAGAACATGACTTGCACAAAGTTGATCACAGTAAATAGTAGGTAAATAGAGATATGTTTTGAGCCAAGTCTTAAAGGAAGTACTGCTCATTAATTAGTGGAAAAGAGAAAATAAAGGGATTACTAAACAGAAAAATTTGCATAAGCAAAGAAAGAGAGGAGGGATTCCACTAAGAAGAAGGCTTCTTATTCACTGGCCCTTCTGTGAAAGCGGTTTATAAACTATACAGTGACAGTTAAAATTATTTTCTTATGGGCTGGACACAGTGGCTCATACCTGTAATCCCAGCACTTTGGGAGGCTGAGGCGGATCACTTGAGGTCAGGAGTTCACAACCAGCCTGGCCCACATGGTGAAACCCCATCTCTACTAAAAATACAAAAATTAGCATGCCTGCAGACCCAGCTACTTGGGAGGCTGAGGCAGGAGAATCTCTTGAACCCAGGGGGCGGAGGGGGCAGTGAGCTGAGATTGTGCCAGTGTACTCCAGCCTGGGCAACAGAGTGAGACTCTGTTTCCAAAAATAATAATAATTTTCTTATATCCTCTCCTTTACCAAACAGATTCATATCTTCCCCCTTTCCTGCTCTATCCTGAAAACCTCAGTTCCTTAAACAAAGGCTGTCTTTCTTGCTCATATTACGTACCTACCGTGGGTTGGATGCGGCTCTGCTCTAGAGACTTTCCTTTGGGCTCCCATCTGGAAGCTTCCCTGTGTTGTGGTGGAAGGAAAAGAGATGCAGCAAACCCCGTTCCAGCTTCTAAAGCTTCTGCTTGAGGACTGACTCACATTTCAATACTGAGAGGGATACACTCACATCTCATTGGCCAAAACAAGATGCAGGGCTGCTTCTGAAATTATCAGGGCAGGGCACTGACTGGAGGAGCAACCAGAACAGGACAGCAAATGTTTTCAATAATAACATAATCCGTTAGACTCCTTTCTCTCCAAATTCTGTCTCTTCCAGAAAACTTGTCTTAAATTATGTCAGGATTTCTCCTGAGGTCTGGCCCCCCCAAACCAGGGCAAGGGAATGAATAAAGTGAATTCTGGATCTGGATGAGGAGCCATAAAGTATATTCACAGTTGGAATATAAACTCCCTAAACATGAAAAGGGGACAACTTTACCTGCATGGAAGAAAGGGTGGGAGAAAACAAACTTATCCCTGAACTAAAAACTGGGCATGGACTCACTGACCCTGAATCACAGTTTTTGGGGTGGAGGTCATCTAGCCTAATGCCCAGTGCAAGAATGCTCACCTTCCCAAATGTGGGACCACCCAGTCTCTGATTAGACACTGCTGCGGATGGAGAACTCATTATCCTGTGAGGCAGCCAGCACAGTCATTGAACTTCTGCAGGTCCTCTCTCATTTCCAGAGGTCCATAATGTCCTCATCACCCTCAGCCAGCTGGCAATCCACTGCTTCTCTCATACAGATTTGAGTACTGAATTGAGTTTTCCACATTGTATCCAAGAAATGGAAATATGGTTGAAATAGTAGTCCCTGAGACATGGGAATAAGGTTGAAGTTGTTTTCCCCAACAGGTGGTCATTAAAGCCTGATTATGGGCTGCTTCTGAAATGGCTCCCAATATTTCTCACCTCCTAATGGTGTCCTTTTGTGTAATCTCTTCCATTTATGTGTGGGCTAGACCTAGAGATTTGGTTCTAACAATAAAATACAGCAAAAATGATGGCATGCCAGATTCATTAAATTATAAAGGACTGTGAGTTTTGTCTTACTGGAACTCTCTCTGGCTCTTGTCATATGCTTGCCCTGAGGAAGAGTTGCTGTGGAAAGGCCCATATGGCAAGGAAATAAGGGAGGCTTCAGTCCAATGGCCCTTGAGGGACCAAATTCTCCCAACAACTATGTGAGTAAGCTTGGAAGGAGATTCTTGTCCAAATGAGTGTGATTGTTAATACTGGGTGTCAACTTGATTGAAGGATATGAAGTATTTATCCTGGGTGTGTCTGTGAGGGTATTGCCAAAGGAGATTAACATTTGAGTCAGTGGGGTTGGGAAAGGCAGATCCACCCTCAATCCGGGTGAGCACAATCTAATTAGCTGCCAGCATGGCTAGAATAAAAAGCAGGCAGAAAAATGGGAAAAGAGAGACTGGCCTAGCCTCCCAGCCTACATCTTTCTCCCCTACTGGATGCTTCCTGCCCTCAAACATCGGACTCCAAGTTCTTCAGCTTTGGAACTCCAACTGGCTCTCTTTGCTCCTCAGCCTGCAGACGGCCTACTGTGGGAGCTGGTAATTGTGTGAGTTAATACTGAATAAACTCATATATATATTCCATTAGTTCTGTCCCTCTAGATAACCCTGAGTAATACAATGAGCTTTCAGATGAGACCTCATCCCCAGCTGACACTTTGATTGCAACCATGTGATCCACCCTGAAGCAAGGATCCCATAAAGCTGCATCTACCTTAAAGAAACTGTGATATAATTCTGTGACCCATGTAAACTGTGTGATAATAAATGTGTTGTTTAAAACCACTACGTTTGAGGATAATTTGCTATGTAGTGATAGATGACTAATATAATTATATACAAAAGTGTTCTGTGATCCTTGGCTTACTGATAAGAATTTCATTCTAGCAAATTCTCTCCTCATGATGGCAGGTTCATTCCCCAAATACCTACTAAAGTGGCCATCTTCAAATTGGGGTTTGTGGGGCCCTGTACACCAAGACTATTCATGTTGTTATTCCCATATTTTGTTTTAAAGGAATTGGTGTCCAGATCCTATACCTCCATATGTATTTCTTCCTAAACACTGATTTGAAAAAAATCAGGCCTGCAATTAGGCAAGGGTCATTCTCAGGTCTCAGTTCCCAGGTCCCTTTCTCTCCCTTTGCAAAAGACACATTCTCAGACCTCCTGAGTAGTAGGATGGTGGTTTGCCCAGGTAGCCAAAGCATGATGCCACACACAAGGACACTTAGAAATTTGGTGTTGAGAAAGCAAGTAACTAAAGAAGGGGCCACAAATTCTTTTGCAGCTCAAGTAGTTTCCACTTCTGTGCTATCAACAAAATTGAAGCAGGACTTAAGCCAGTGGTCAGCTGACAGATTATTAAAAACAATCTTTTGATGGATCACTATGTAATTTTTGGCAACTCAGAAGGAATTCAAAGAATTGAAGGACGCTGTTCCAACAAAACTTGCCTTCCTATCTATTTATTTATGCAAACAAGATTCCTCTCAGCACTTATAACAAAAATAGGAATAGATTTTTGAAGCTGTGCAGTAATACTATTTGTGATAATTCAAAATAATTTTAATACTTAGACCACTGGAAATTTTTAAAATATATTAATTTATATAGCTATTTTTGTTGTGGTTAATTATTATAGGGTGGTTATTAAAAGGACTTCTACCACAAAAAAATGTAGGATAAAATTCCGTGGAAAAAGTGGAATGGAGTTTCAGGCTTAAGGAACAAAAAATAATTGATTTAAATAACTTGTTTGTGTATTTTAAAAATGGGCAATGGAAGTTATCAAATTGCTAGGACAGTTAGAGTCCATTGGGTTCATTTAAAACAGTAATATAGTATTTTAAGTGACTAGATACAGCAAAATTACATCCTTTTCAACTATGGAAACTTAGAAAATATCCAAAATGTATGGAGACATACAGCTTTTAAAAAATTCATTTTGAGAATATAAGAGCAAGAAAGTCAGCTGGGCATGATGGCTCACACCTATAACCCTAACGCTTTGGGAGGCCAAGATGGAGGATCACTTGAGCCCAAGAGTTTCAGATCATCCTGAGCAACATAGGGAAACCCCATCTCTACACAAATATATTAGCCAGGTGTGGTGTCATGCATCTGTAGTCCCGGATACTTAGGAGGCAGAGATGGGAGGATTGCTTGAACCCAGAAGGTCAAGGCTGCAGTGAGCTGTGGTCATGCCGCTGCACTCCAACCTGGGCAACCAGAGCAAGACCCTGGCAGAAAAAAAAAAAAAAAAAAAAGCAAGAAAGTCTAAAGCCCCTGGGGTGGAGGACAGCCACTTCCACAGCTCCTCACATTAGGACTTTCTTAGGAATTCAGGATTTAAATTGGTGTTAACCATCTTGATGCTGTGAAACGCTTTCAGCCTGCCAGTTTAGTCTATGCTCATCTCCAAGTCTCTCTTGAGACAATACAGACTTATTTTTTCACCTGTTTCAAGTTAGCACCCAGCCTCTGCAGCTTCAGCAGTAACTTCTGTTACTCTTTGTACGGGGAGGCCCTGGCACAGTCCCCGACCCCCTGACCCAGACTTCCGCTCCAACATTCTTCCATGGTGGAGCTCTAACATGTGAGGATGAGTGGAGGTTATTGGAGTTGTTTAGTTTAGGAAAAAAAGACTCTGAGGTCTGAGGAATGGTGAGGACTGGGGACCCCCAACAAGAGAGATAGGGACATCGTGTTCTTAAATACTTAAAAATCAGTTTTGTGAAAGAGAGATTAAGCTGATTAATAGAGGCCAGGCCCACAGGGAGGAAGTTTCAGGGTAATAAATCCTGGACAACCATGAAGCATAAGTACAACATTCAAATAAGAAAAACCATCAAGAGAGGACCAGGCATCTCATGAAGAATTGAGCGTGCTGTCCCTGGAAGAATGCAAGCAGAGGCTGGATTATCACTGTCAAGGATGCTATTTTGCCACCGGGTGGAGGGTGGGCTGTACCCCTGCTTGGAATCACTGGTGGTTCCCTGGTGGCTGCCCTCCTTACACCTGGCTTATGGTGCCCAAGAAAGCTTAGAGCTGTTGTCACAAATGCTGGATTGATAGCCTTGAGGGAGGAAACCCGCATCTTAAAGCTTGCTCCCTAGGAAGGTTTGATATCAGTTTCTTACAACTCAGTACGACTGTAAGTCATGTGCTTCCTTTGGGGGGTGTTTCACATAAACCTCGCCTTTAATCCGAAATGGAATGAGCGGCTTTGCTTCCTAGGAGGCATCCTGACTGCTGAAAAGGGGTGGTGGGGCTAGCTTCTTCTCTTTGAAGAAGAGGGAGGCATAACAGTGTGGTTTATGCTTTCGCAGAACCTCCAAAATTCCTGCCCCTAGAGGCTGTTCCCAGGGCTCACGGGCTGTATATAAATAACTGTAATGACACCTCCCCGCCAACCCCAGAATGAAATGACGAGTCTATTGGAGCTTGGATGGAGAGGAGGGAGGAGAAAAATGAGGTGACATGGATCAGAGGAAATGTGATACCACCGTCGGCGAACGCACAGTCTCCTCCACACCCCACTGAAGTGTTCTGAGCCTCCAGTCCTCCAACAGACACTTGCCCCTCACCACAATCGGCTCTCACCTAAGCAGCTGCCGGTCCCTTTCCGGAAGATCGCAGAGGCCGCGGGAATGTTTTATCCCCAGCGTCTCACGCCCTCTTCTGGACACTTTTCCCAACAGCTAGTTCTGTTTCTGCGTTTTCTCATTTTTCAATCCCTCTCACTTCACCTGAGAGGAAGTCTCCCCTAGAATCAGGTTGAAACATGGTCCCCACAGCAAGGCTTTGGTTTAATGGTTCCATTTTGATTTATTACCAGGTGATGTGGGGTGAAGGGTAAACTTTCTGAGCCAGGCAGGTGGGGAGAGATTGTGAAATTCTCTGCTACTCAAGCGGGTCTCGGGAGCCCCTATCATCTTCCTATTCCCAGAAATGCCCAGGCCAAGAGCTGCCGCACCGCCAACCACGGGGGTGACTTTGGGCGGTCCCGCTTCCTCTCTGAGCCTCTGATTTCTCATTAGTAAAATGAGAGGATTGGCTCTTCCATCTACCACTTTCAAAGATCAGGGAACTAGGGAAGATTTTCTGTTATATACTCTGAAATACTACAGTCCCACTCAGTTAATTTGAGCTTAAATTCTAGGGGTGGCCAGGTGACAGGCTGTGAAGAATCTCCATTCCAGGGCAGTCAGCGGGCACATCCCAAAAGGCCACACTCTAGATGTAGCCACCACACATCCTTCTGCTATCACATTTCAATCAATCACCATGTCTAGGCTAACTAACAGACTGAATGTCAAATGAGTTTTTATTGGTGACTTGTGAAATTGCAGGATGCATGTTAGAAGTTGGATCTCTTTGGTTAAATGATGGGTATTCAAGATTTAGGGGTAGGCTAGAGACACTCCTCACTCTTGCCAGAACACGCCAGAGCAAGAATCTGGAGTGCCCTATAACCTGCACCGTGAGGGAGGGTGCCCAAGGCTGGATCCTAATTTGGCCTGGTGTCCAGCCGATGGTGGAAGAGGACATCTGGTTGTAAAAAGCTGACTAGAAGCACGAACTCCTGCCTCTGAATGCTGCAATGAATGAACCTTGTATACAGGCAGCCTCAAGTAACCCTGCCTTACAGGTGTGATCAGAACCCCTAAAAGGCAAGAGTGCTGAAACCTCATCAAGCTTACCAAGCCAGTTCTGGACCAGCTTGCCGCTGAAAGCTTGTCTAATAAGTGGCAGCACGTGGGCTGAATGAACTGCTTTCTCTATCACCTGTAGCCACCACAACCTTCTTGGGCAACTAATTGTTATCTACCAAAAAGAATCTAAATGTGGCATAGAATCCTAAGTCATTTTCTAACTCTGAGTCTTATATATTTCTGATTCCTTTAAACAAAAATTCATCTAAACATCATTTGTTAAACACCCACTATGTTTCAGACACTCCCTGAGATTACAGAGATTTACAGAAGAATAAAATGTCTTTTGGGGGCCCAGCCCAAACATACAGCTGCCTACTTGCCTTTTCCACATATGTGTCTAAGGGTATCTCTGACTTATATTACCAAAATGAAAATCTTAATTTTCACCCCACATGCATGTTCTTCCCCAAATCTTAACCATATTGATACATAGCATCACCACTTACCATCAAGCCGAAATCCTAGGCTAGGCATCATCCTTGATTCCTCTATTTCCCTCAATTCTGTTTTTCTTTTTTTTTTTTTTCTTTTGAGATGGAGTCTCACTCTGTCACCCAGCCTGGAGTGCAATGGTGTGATCTCGGCTCACTGCAACCTCCGCCTCCAAGGTTCAAGCCATTCTCCTGCCTCAGCCTCCTGAGTAGCCGGGACTACAGGCACGCGCCACCACGCCCAGCTAATTTTTGTATTTTTAGTAGAGACGGGGTGTCACCATATTGGCCAGGCTGGTCTCGAACTCCTGACCTCAGGTGATCTGCCCGCCTCGGCCTCCCAAAGTGCTGTGATTACAGGTACGAGCCACCGAGCCTGGCCTATTTTTTTTTTTAAATTTTTTTAAGAAATAGAGATGGGGTTTTACCATGTTGCCCAGGCTGGTCTCAAACTCCTGGACTCAAGCGATCCGCCATCTCGGCCTCCCAGACTGCTGGGATTACAGGTGTGAGCCACCGCGCCCAGCCCATTTTCCTCAATTCTCAATTCTAATCCATCAGCAAAGCCTAATAGTTCAATCTCCAAGGCACATCCCAAATCAGGCACCTTTTCCATCTCCAGTGGTGCCACCCTCCACCAGCCCCAGCCATTTCCTGCTGGGCTACTGCAAAAACCACCTGCTTGGTCTCTCCACTTCCATTTATTTGACCTCATCTCTTCCTGCCCTTCTCCTTTCTTACTTTGAGCTCCCGACCTCAATCCCTTCTTTCTGTTCCTCAAACATGCTGTGCTTATTCTCACCTCAGGCTATTTGAAGCTACTGGCTCCTTCCCTGGAAGGCTCTACCCCTGACATTCACCTCAGGCCCAAAATTTAAATAAGCACCAAGAAAACTTAGTACTCAAGACATTAGGACAATAATTTAATGCAATAGCAAAAAAAAAAAAAAAAAAAAAAGGTCCATGACGAAAAAAAACACAAATTTAAATAAAGACAGGATTCAGGAGTGCCATGCTAAGCCATATAGAATCCAAAGGCCAGAGGTAAAAATGTGTGCCCCTATATACATTTTTTTTTGAGCTGGAGTCTCACTCCGTTGCCCAGGCTGGAGTGCAATGGCGCAATCTCGGCTCACTGCAACCGCCTCCCAGGTTCAAGCTATTCTCATGTCTCAGCCGCCCAAGTAGCTGGAATTACAGGCGCCCACCACCGCGCCCAGCTAATTTTTGTATTTTTAGTAGAGACAGGGTTTCGCCACATTGGTCAGATTGGTCTCAAACTCCTGACCTCAGGTGATCCACCCACCTCAGCCTCCCAAACTGCTGGGTTTACAGGCATGAGCCACCGCACTCAGCCTTGTATTTCTTTTTAAGAGGCAGGGTCTCACTATGTTGCCCAGCCTGGAGTACGGTGGCTGTTCACAGCCTCGATCAGGAATTTTGACCTGCTCAGTTTCTGACCTGGGCTGGTTCACCCCTCCTTAGGCAACCTGGTGATCCCAGCTCCTGGGAGTTCACTATGTTGATGCCAAACTTAGTGCAGACACCCGGTCAGCATAACACACTACAGCCCAGAACTCCTGAACCCAAGCAATCCTCTTGCTTTAGCCTCTGGAGTAGCTGGGACTATAAACATGTGCCACCATGCCCAACTGTATATATATATGTGTGTGTGTGTGTGTGTGTGTGTGTGTGTGTGTGTGTGTGTGTGTATAGAGAGAGAGAGAGAGAGATGGAGTTTCGCTCTTGTTGCCCAGGCTGCAGTGCAATGGCGCGATCTCGGCTCACTGCAACCTCCGCATCCCGGGTTCAAGCAATTCTCCTGCCTCAGTCTCCCGAGTAGCTGGGATTGCAGGCATGCGCCACCACGCCTGGCTAATTTTTGTATTTTTAGTAGAGACAGGGTTTCTCCATGTTGGTCAGGCTAGTCTCAAACTCCCGACCTCAGGTGATCCGCCTGCCTCGGCCTCCCAATGTGCTGGGATTACAGGCGTGAGCCACCACGCCCAGCCCCAGCTGTATATTTTTAAAGGTTAACTTTTCCCAGGATCTTAAAGGAGTTAAAAAATATTGAAAAATTTTAAAGTGGGTTGTTAAAATGCACATTATGTTAAGCTTAAATATTTTATTATACTTGTGTTAAGGGATCTCCAGGACTCCAGGTTTGAGGATTTGCTAGAAGGACTCACAGAATTCAAAAAAGCTGTTATAGTCATGGTTTTGGCTTATTACAATGAAAGGATGCAGATTACAATCAGCAAAGGAAAAAAAGTGCACAGGGCAGAGTCCAGAAGAGACGAGACATAAGCTTCCATTGTCCTTAACAAGGAGAATTGTAGGGAGAGCACCCAGCAATGATGTGTGACAACATGGAGGAAGTATTGCCAAGCAGGGAAGCTCACCCAAACTTGCAAGGTTTTCACTGGGGGCCAGTCTTCATTTCTCCCACCTCCAGAGGTGAAATGAATACAGCATGGCCCAGGTTCCCAGGTGAACAACAACAGGTTTCAACAAAAATTACATCGTTAGTATAAATCCGGGATAGGCCAGGTGCAGTAGCTCATGCCTGTAATCCCAGTGCTCTGAGGGGCTGAGGCAGGAGGACTGCTTGAGGCTGGGAGTTCGAGACCAGCCTGGGCACAGAACAAGATCCTGCCTATACAAAAAATTTTTTAAATTAGCTGGGTGTAGTGGCATGTTCCCATAGTCTTAACTACTCAGGAATCTGAGGCAAGAGGATGGCTTCAGCCCAGGAATTCGAGGCTGCAGTGAACTATGATCGTGTCACTGCACTCCAGCCTGGGCAACGGAGTGAGACTCCATCTCTAAAATAAAAAATAAGAAGCTATCTAGGGTAGTCCAAGTCTCTAGGAAGACAAAGACACTCATATCAGGCAGAATTCCAAGAACTCACAGGTTATATCTCCCGGGAGCCTCAAGGGTCCATCCTTTCTTTGGAATGTGCAGGGTTGGACACCTCAAGCCTGCTGAATTAATCTTTAACTGCATAATAACAAAACCAGAAGTTAGTATAACTTCACTGGCTTTAATGAAGCAAGCTCATCAATAATATTTTCTGGATCAATCAATAATATCTACTTCTGGAAAAAGTTAACCACTGAAGAAATACATTAAGGCATGTCTATACAGACACACATTTTTCTTTTGGCCTCTGATTCCAACATGGTTGAGCATAGCACTGCCAGATCCTGTCTTTATTTAAAATTTTGATATTTCATGCTTTGTGGACTTTTTGCATTAATTTTGATTTTTAAAAATATTATTGATCCATAGACTGGGCGCAGTGGCCCTATAACCCTCAAGCCTGTGATTTCTCATCTTTCCAGCCTAATCAGAATAGTACATAATCAGGAATGCCTCTGATAACCGTATCTGTTATTGCATTCTCTCCATTTCTCTTTCATTGTATCACTTCACATTCTAGAATGATCTCATTTCTATCTCATAATTTCCCGTCTACCCCTTCCACTCAACTCAAATACAGGCTCCCTGAAGCAGAGAGCTTGTCTGTCTTGCTCACTGCTAAACTCTCAGATGATAGAAGAGTGTCCCTCACATGGTTGATGGTAAAATGTCAGTTGCACTGACTCTGCATGGAGGCTGAAACCCTGCATGGTTACAGACACAAAGGGCAGCCACACAGCTGAGGTTTCTCCTGGTGTCGTTTATTGCCAAGCGGCCTCCATGGCTGGGGGATCCAAAGGCTAAAAGGACCCACAGAGATAAGTCTAGATGGAATATTTAAGATGAAGGATACCTCCAGCTCTTTCCAATGTTACTGATTTAACAAGAGCTATTTACAGAGTGTGCCGTCAAGTTGCACTCATGTCAAAGTGCAGAAACTACTGGTTTGCATATTCAAACTTTGCATAAATCAACTTAGCTTCGGAGCTTATGAAGAGATACATTGGCCCTGGTTCTGGTCTGTCCTGGGGAAATGATTTATTCTTTTTCTATGGTGATTTGTATTTCTAGGTATCCATTATTAAAATATGAACATTACTAAAGGGAAAGTGCGTGAACAAAGTTATCCAACATTAACATTTTCATTTTCATGCCTGTGCGTCTGAGTGTTATTTCACTTTCTTGTACTTGGCTGGTCATAACTCTCCATTATTCCCAGGCTGAGTGTTGTTCCTGGGGTGTGACCCCCACCGTTGTCCTTATGGCCTCCTATCCCAGGGCTCCGAACACTTCCTAACTCCAGACATGCCATTGGCCAGGAATTCTCCTTCCTGTTTTCTAGACCTCCCCATGCACACACCCTCTAAGGGTTTCCATCTCACTTCGTAAGGACTTTGCCTTCTACTCTGAGTGAGATTCAACTCATGGATCTGGAAACAGACAGCATCTCACTCAGGGTACACAGCAAAGTCTTTTTACAATGGCTTGGCTCCAACAGCCCCCTTATCCCCTCCTCTCCAGTCCCCTTGCTGTTCCTTGAATGCCTCATGGTCTGGCCAGCTTCAGTGCCTCTGCCTTTCCTGGCTTCAAGGTTTTCACCCTCTCACCTTCTCAGGGGTCTTCTCAGTGAGGGCTTCCCTGCTTGCCTCACTTACATTGCATGGCCCCTTGGCACTCCACATCCCCTGGCCCCTTTATTTTCCTCTATGTCATTATCACCATCTAGCATATTATGTATTTATTTGGTTATTTTTTTCCCAATCCCCTTGCTAAAATATAAGCCGTTTTATTCTCTAACTTGTAGGGACTTCTTCAACTCCAGCCTGATTCTTTCCAGCATGCAGGATAGTTTGGATGATGTCTTGGTTTGCCAGAACTGCCATAGCAAAGAACCACAAACTGGGTGGCTTAAAATCACAGAAATTCATTCTCTCACAGTTCTGGAAGCTGGAAGTCCAAAATCAAGGTGTCAGCTGGGCCAGCCTCTTGAAACACGCAGGGAAGAATCTGTCTTTGCCTCTTCCAGCTTCTGGGGGTCTGCCCACTATGTTGGGCTTCCTGGGCTTCTGGGGTGTGACCCCCACCCTTGTCCTTACGGCATCCTGTCTAGATGCAGCACTTCAGTCTCTTCCTCTGTCACAGATGGCGTTCACCTCGTGCATCTGTGTCTCTCTGTCTGTACCCCGCTTTGTATAAGGACACCACTCATATTGGAGTAAGGGCTCACTCTAATCCAGAATGATTTCTTTTTTTTTTTTTTTCCTTTGGAGACAGAGTCTTGCTCTTGTTGCCCAGGCTAAAGTGCAATGGCATGACATCAGCTCACCGCAACCTCTGCCTCCCAGGTTCAAGCGATTCTCCTGCCCCAGCCTCCCGACTAGCTAGGATTACAGGCATGCGCCACCATGCTGTATTTTTTTTGTATTTTTAGTAGAGATGGGGTTTCTTCATGTTGGTCAGGCTCGTCTCAAACTCCTGACCTCAGGTGATCTGCACGCCTCATCCTCCCAAAGTGCTGGGAGCCACCTCGCCCGGCCCCAGAATGATTTCATCTTAGCATTTATATCTGTAATGACCCTATTTTCAAATAAGGTCACATTCCAAAGTACTAGCAGTTAGGACTTCAACATATCTTTATGGAGAGATACAATTCAGCCCATAACAGGTGACGTCTGAGGGTGGTTTTGTCCAATGGCAGTTCCGTTCCACCAAGACAAAGATACGGGGCTGGAGATGTTGTTTCTGTTTGTTTGTTTGTTTGTTTTTTTAAATAGAGATAGGGTTTCCTATGTTGCTTAAGCTGGTCCTGAACTCCTGGCCTCAAATGATCCTCCCACCTCAGCCTCCCAAAGTTCTGGGATTATAGGTGTGAGTCACGATGCCTGGCCAGCTGCCATAGTTATATAAGACACAAAGTCTTCCTTCCTTTCTTCACCCATTTATTCAACAAACACTCCTAGAGCCAGGCATTTGTTAAGCACTGCAGAACAAAAAAAAAAAAAAAAAAATGATAGGCAGGACCTCTACCCCAGGGTGCTCCCAGGCTAGTGAAGAAAAGCAAATAACATCACTACGTGATTAGTCCCAAGAGAGCCCACACAGACGGAGGTGGTGCCCCCGCTCCAGAGCCATCTATAAGCACCCACCTGCTGGTGCCTCCAGTAATCTTTGCATGCCCACCCTTGCCAGCCTGGGAGTGTGGGGAGGCATATCATTTAGGATTACATTTTTATGCTCTAGCTAAAAGTTTATGGTCTCCTTCTATTTTAACATGTGTTACTCCATAAATTAGGCTGAAAAATCCTCACACATCTAAGTTGTCATCGGACTCAAGCATTTTGCCACTCCTGCTCAAGCTGATCTTAAAGCTTATTCCGCAAGTGGTTGCAGAAGTAACTGTCCAGCTCCTGGCTCGCCACTCCTCAAACCCCAGGAACCGCTCACAGCAAGCCAGGCCCCAGGAGCTGCACAGTTTTAAAGGCAAAGTCAGTAAGTGGTCCCACCCAGTCTTGATGCTCCTCTCCCCTTGAACTTTACTCTACTTCCAGTAGTTGGGATCCTGTGCTATTCCTTACAACAAGCCTCTGTCAGTCTGGTCATATAACTCAATCCTTCTCTTGTCTCTAGTGCCCTCATCTTTATCCAATTCCCTGTTATGTCCAGGTTTCCTGGAGACCAGATTCACCGTACTCATCACAGTCTTCCCTCCATCTCTGATCTTATCTGCACACCCAGGTTTCATGACTTGGTCCCAATGTTTGCAGCAGATTCTCCTTGATGCCTGGACCTGCTCATATCTTGCTTCCAGATTCCTGCTGCTGTGATTTGCTCACCTGTCAGGATTCCCGTTAAGCATTGTTGGGACCTTCCCAGACTTCTTGCTTTCCCCAGGGGGCATCTGCCTGGATTTAGCATCAGGGGTTCTTAATCAATGTCCCAAGGCACACTAGAGGCAGCACTGTGAACTGTCCCTGTTGCGCCACCAAATGTGATTATGTAAATCACATGCCTCAAATGGAACACTTATTTTTGTTACCACTGAAGATACAGTTTTATGAACATGATGCCACTTGCTTCATCCGGGAGGTAAGAAATGGGATAAAATGTTTGCTAGAACATTCCAGGCTGGGAGTGTGGACAGTGCACTCAAGCACTCTACGCACATCCTGGTGATCAAGTGAGCCTCATGCTAGCCTGGATGCTTTTATAGACACTTGGAAGCATTGTGAGGCCACATAGTAATGGCCGAATTGTAATCCCCGCTGACTTGTCTAGCGATGTTTTGTGCCTTTTAATCCCTGCATATGTGTCAACAAATATTCTGATATTTAAAGTGTGACTTGAGACTGGATATGGTGGTTTACTCCTGTAATCCCGGCACTTTGTGAGGTCAAGGCAGGAGGATCACTTGAGCCTAGGAGTTCAAGATCAGACTGGGCAAATGTAGTGAGATCCCATATCTATAGAAAATGAAAAAATTAGCTGGGCATGGTGGCACACACCTATAGTCCCAGCTACTCAGAAGGCTGAGGTAGGAGAATCGACTGAGCCCAGGAAGTCAAGGCTGCAGTGAGCTGTGATCGTGCCACTGCACTCCAGCCTGGGTGACAGAGTCAGACCCTGTCTCAAAAAAATTACATTAAATTAAAGTGTGACTTGAAACCTAGACCAAAGAGTTCAAGAAACATAACAGGGTCAGGTTTGTCCTCCCGTAACTGAGCCCTGGAGCCATCAATCAGCCCCTTCTCTCTGAAGTTAATCAGTAGCATGGACTGGGATAGTGCTGGGTACATGGAAACCACTATCAGATATTGAAATGCATGTTCCCTTGACCAGAAATTCCACTTTAGGAATTCACTTTCCTGATATACTCATAAATGTATATATATGGACTTTCATGTATATGTATTCACTTTCCTGATATACACACAAATGAGTCAACTGTGTGGATTTATTCCCAGCAACATAACTGGAAATAACAAAAGCCTGGAAACCACCCACATGTCCATCTCCAGGAGTGCCCTGGTGGCACAAAAACCTAAGGAGGTTTGTCTATGGAGGTACTGGCCCACATCTGGGTCATGGCCGCATCAGAGATTAGTTTGCCAGAACATTTCTGGTGAGGGTAGGGCATTTGCACACAGGACAGAGACAGGCTAGCTTGAGGACAGAAAAGAAAGGAGAACTAGCTGGAGTTGGAGGGAGGTGGTAACTAAGAGTCTCTGTGGGAGAAAAAGGGCATGAAAGGCATGCGTCCAGGAGTGGGACCCTGCCCACTGGGCAGCCAGGAGCAGCTTTACATACTGGGCTGGGAAGAGAGACAAATGGCATAAGAGGGGAGGGTGTCTGAAGGCGGACACAGGAACTGACAGAGAGAAAACTTGATTTTTATTTCCCCATTGTAACTTGGGTGGCTGGGAGACTCCTCTTGCAGGAAAGAGAATTTCACTGCTAAGTGATAGAAGAGGCCACCTCTTCCTGACAGCGGAGATACCTGTATTTACCCTTGATTTTGGCCAAAAGGCCAAGAAGCAATTGGAAATGTCTGTATTTAGCACACATTGTTGGGAAAGCGCATTCAATCTGAGTGATTTCGTCCCTTGCATTTTTGCTGCACGTGAATTTCTCTAGTTCTTGGCCCCAGACTTGGAATTTGACTAGTAGCATTTACCATGAAATGATTTGTTATTTTTTTTAATTGCCCTAAATCCTTGCCTGGATCCATTTTTCCCTCCAGGGTTTTCCACAAATCACTCTTGAGCTGCCTCCAGCACCTCTCATCTGACTCTGCAGTTGGTCCTTTAAGAAAACAGCTGGGGTGGCCACAGCTGGCTCCTGAGAGAGAGGCCTTGAAAGCCAGGTCCTGCAGGGGCAGAGCAAAGTAGCTCAGTTTCCAATGCAGGGAGAGGCATATGCCCACATGCATATTAGGGCATGATTAGTGGCATGCTAAGTTCACACACATACACACAGACACACACACCCCAGGCTAGTCCACTGCAGACTGACCACTCTGCGAGAAAAAAATGGTACCTCTCTCCCAGTCTTGCTTACACTGTAGCTGTAAATGTAGAGTTGAGAATTGAATTCATTCACCACTCCCAGACTTTTTCTTCTCCACCTCCTCTTCTTCCATATGGCTCAGGACCATTAAGCATTTATTCAAAGCCAACCATGTGCTCGGTGTTCATTTTAAATACATGGCCACATTTTCACATGAAGATTCCCACCAAAATGGGATTTTTAGTTTTTGCTTTTGCTTATTGACTGAACTACTTATTCCCTGCCAGTGATTTAAGAGACTATAAATCATGTAGTTCAAAATTCTGCAAGCCCCCAAAAAAGTTTCTAGAAGCACCGCTTCAGCGTGGCACCTTAGAAAGGGCATGGAATTTGGAGCCAAATATGCTGAGTTCAAATCTTGACCTTCCTACCTGTGCCATCTGGAGCCAGGGACTTAGTCACTCTGGTCCTGGGTTTCTTCCTTTGTAAATTTGTTTAATAATCTTTTCCTACAAAAGAATGGATACACTGTGGCATACTGAAACACAATGAAACATTACCCAGTACTCACAAAGAATGAGCTGCTAAAATATGCAGCAACATGATGAATCGCATAGACATTATGTTGAGTGAAAGAAACCAGGCACAGAGGACTGCATTCTGTATGATTCTGTTTACATGAAGTCCAAGAGCCAGTAAGATGAATGGATGGTGTTAGAAGTCAGAAGAGTGGTTATTTCTGAGGGTACAATGACTGGAAAGGGGCGTGAGAGAACCTTGTGAGATGCTGGAAATGCTCTGTATCTTCAGCTGGTGGGGCTATACAGGAGCAAACATAGGTAAAACTTCACCAAGCTGTACACTTGACACGTTTTACTGCATGCATGTTATACCTCAATTTAAAAAAGGAAAAGCATCCCTGTCTAGTGCCTATGGGCTATGGTGAGGACCAAGTAAAACTAGACAGGCTTGCAAAACACCAAACAAATGTGCATTGCTATTGTTAAGGAATAATGATGGCATCAAAAAGATGTTAGATCCTTGAGGGAAAAAAAAATTGTTCTTCCAGACCAGAATGAACTTAACTAGGAATAGAAACTGAGCACTTCTGGGAAATTACACAATTTCACTGGAAGAATATGATACGTATTATGGGCTGCAATGCTTCAGTTGTTGAGATGCAGCACTTAGCATTTGTAGAGTGCCAGCCCTCTGCTGTATCATCTCATTTAATTTTGCAACAGTCAAGGCGGGGTTGACTCTGCTGCTCTGGATAATATGGCCTCTCGACTGGACTTCGACGCTGCTAAGGCTCTGCAGGCACCCTGCTGCCTGTTACTAATGGTGTGGCATCCTCTTCCTTAAGCTACGAGTCCAAATGATTACCTCTAATAGTGTAAACAATACAGTCAAGACCGTGCCCTTAGTGAGAAAGGAGGTGCAATAGGTTGGTTATGAATCATGCCCAACGTGGGGTCTGCAGTTACTGAAATTCTGCAGGCAATTAATTTCTCTTGAAGTCTGGTGAGATATAGGAGACTCCCTTTTTCTCATTTGTGAATGGGTCTTTCTGGTCTGTCTGAGAATGAATGCTCTGATCTCCTGCCCCCAAGATAGATTTCTCCAACTGAGTCAAGTCCATTTCTCACTGTGACCTGCCCCAACACTCAACTCCAAATGCCTTCTTCCTTCTCTAGGCCATCGACAGTCCACCCAACCTGTAAGTCCAGCTCCAGTGCACCTTTTTCCTGGAAGACTTCCAGAACTGATGGTCCCAGCCATGATAAACCTCTCCCTTTTCCAAAAAAACCCAAGCAGCAGTGGCGTGACTCTAAAGTGTGACTTGCATAGTACCACCCTCTGTCAAGTTACCAAAAGCTCCTCCTCCAAGCCACTCAAAATAAACACAAAATCTAAACAAAACAGCATACTGCTATTCAAACGCAGCCTCAAGAAACATTCCGTAACACTGTCTTCCAGCCAGATGCCCTTTTAAACGCAGGCTACATACAAATTCTGAAGCCTTCTTAGCACAAGTAAGTCTGTTGCATGCACTTACTGTATTTCACACTCATTAGATACTGACTTGCATTATTCTTAATTATTTCTTGTCCTAGGTTTTGATCTTCAGTGAGACTACAAATTCCACCAGGGCAGAAATTATGTCGTTTTTACTCTGTATGCCCCATAGGGCTTAGCAGAGGGTTCACACAGCTGAGATTGCACTAGTTACCAAAAAGTTTTGAGATGCTCTGCTAAAAATATACTATATACATTCAGCAAATGAATTTTATTCATATTATTTGTGGTAGCAATGCTGATAATGATAATGAATACTTTTTAGTGTCCTTATAATTGTATTTGTTATTGATTTCTCCAGTTGTTAAGTGCAATTTATAAAAAGCCAACTGGACTTTAAACTGCACTGATGCTATTTTCCAAGGTAGTTTTGTACTTTTTCATTACATGTTTAAAAACTGTACTCAGCACATTTTGTAGGCTGATGAAATAAACTGCTCAAAAAAATAAAAAGAAAAAAAGGAAAGAAAAACCCCACTGGCATCTGTAGCATTCACGTTAAAAAACATGTTTCATTTCCAATCACACACCTCCCCAGTTTAGAATAAAGTTATTTCCCCTTCTGTCCAAATTGCAATTGCAATTTATTTACACACTGGGTAATTAGTGTTTTTCATATTCTTCCTTGAGTGGACAGCTGTGAGGTTAGTATTAACCCTGTCTATAGCACAGGTTCACTGTTCTTTATCCAAATCCCTCGGGGCCAGATGGGTTTTTGGAATTTTGCATTTTTTTGATTCTAGAAAGGTGGTATGATGCCTAAACTATAGATTTTATAACACTTCCTGCCAGAGCTGGGGTGGTGGCCGGTAATCAAAATCATTAATAGTGCTATAGTAAAATCTAGTGAGATAATTTTAAGTAGCTTTACTCCTGTTCAGGTCAAACTTTGCTGCTAAATGAGGGTTGGCATCACACCTTCTGGTTTCAGAGCGTTTTGGGTTTTGCAGTTTTGAGTGAGGGCTGGCAGACCCTGGCTATCTTCTCCGGTGTACATGGACCAGGATTGGCTTCGGGATTTGTCAGAGATTTCAGATCCAGGGCCCCAGCAGCATCACATCTTTCATTCACCTGGGGATTACAATTCAATGTAGTCAACATTTGTTGAGGGGTTTCTGTGTGCCTGGCGCTGTTCTAGATGCTGCAAGAGATTTAAAGGAGAATGAAATAGGTCTCTGTATTAGTCAGCTTGAATTGCCATAACAAAGTTCCACAGTCTAGGTGGCTTAAACAACAGACATTTATTTTCTCATAGTTCTGGAAGCTGGAAGATCAAGGTGCCCGCAGAGCTGGTTTCTGGGGAGTCCTGTCTGCAGTCTTCTCACTGTGTGTGCAAGAGAGAGCTCTGGTGTCTCCTCCTTTTATAAGGACACCAGCCATTTGGAGCCCATTAAACCTTCATAACCTCCCTGAAGGCTCCATTTGCAAATATAGTCACATGGAGGGCAGGGCTTCAGCAGATGAATTTTGGGAGGATACAGCTTAGTCCCTAGTACCCTTTCCCTCCGACAGCTCATGGTCTAGTAGCGGATGTAGGTCGGATCCCAGCTGACCTGATAAAAAAGAGAAAGAGCTGGAGAGAGTAGGGTGGCAGGCAGCCTTTAGGATGTCTGGGTAGCCTGAGTAGATGGTGTTGAGTTGGGCTCTCAGGAGAGGAAAGGCTAGAATCCACCGGGTGGCTGCAGGAGGGAGACAGCACTCTCAGTGAAGGCTTAGATGCGGGGAAATGGTGGGGCTGTCCGTTTGGAGACCAGTGACTGTCAGTTCAGCACAGCTGGATATGGGTTGCTCAGATTATCACAAAAGTGAGCTAACAGTGGCCTCTGTGCATTGGCACCAAGGTTGTTTATTTATTTACTGTTGGCTGAGACTCATTAGATCAGCCCGCTGACACCATATGCAAATGTTGATATATTCAATTTTAAATATAGCCCAAACAAGCAAATGTTTAGCCATCTAGAGCCTGCCTGCTTTGCATACCCGGTGCAACTTCATCCCACAGCTGTCCCCTGTTGATAAGATAGGCCTGGCAGTAGTGAGGTCCCAAACAGTGTGGCCCTGGGATCTCTGAACCCAAAGACACCACACTAGGCTGCCTGGTGATACATCCTCCTGTCTCCAGGAGCTCGCCTGTCCTCCTCCCCTTCTGGATGGTGGCCCCCTCATCTCCATAAACCTCCAGGGCTTATGTGGGGTTGAAGAGCGAGACATTTTGCCCCTTCCTGTCTTCTGGTCATTAAGTTAAAGATCACACCTTTGACGGTAGGTTTCCCTCTGCCTCTCTGCCAGGCTTAGAGGGATTTGAGGCTGATCAAGGAGAAAGATAGGACCACAAGGTGGCAGCAGCAAACACAGGTGCTTAATAGAGCTTTGGACAGGGTGGCTTAGGAGGGAGTCCCTCACAGCCTCTGTACGCCTCCCCACCTGGTGTGGGGGGTCAGTGCCCCTAGAGACAACCCTTGACCAAAGCGGGCAAGAGTGGGGAGATCAATGCCCCAGCATTGTGCACTTGTGCACTTCAAACTTGAGAGGCTTTCTAGACAGTTCCTCAGCAGGTCCCCAGGTGCAATGAGACCCAGTTATCTGCAGTGACAACCTCTCTGTAGCACATTCTTGTCATGGTTCCTTCCCTGCAGCCTCCCTACCTCTGCTTCCTGGATCACTGACCACATAATCTAACTGCACCCAAGTCCTCATCTCGGGCTCTGCTTTCGGGAGAACCAAACCCAAGATGAGTTCTCATCTATAAAGGGAAGGATTTGAACTAGACACCCTCTCAGGTCCCTTTCAGCTCAGATTTTAGGGAAGAAAAATGAATCCCAGAAAGCCCAACCTGAAGTCACACATATAGGGCAAGAACCTAGCCTGAAACTGTCTCGCTATGTCCATTTTCCCAGAACTATATCTACAAAGTCATTTCAAATAGAAGTCTCACATAGCAGTGCTTGGAAGCACTAAGCTAATAACCCTCAGCCTCTACCCAAAACACATGTCTTAGCACTTTACAAAAAAAAAAATGAAATTTGGAGGAAGCTTAGGCTCTCAGAGCCCTTGTCCAGCTGACAGCTTCACAAGAGGCATAAATGGAATCATATCTTTTTACTGTTCCCTGCGCTAACTGCGATAAAATTCCAGTTATCTCAGGGGCCTTTCTAGAGAGGAAGGTATTCTTTTTATTAGATGAAATTCTCATCTATATTCTGAGAGGCTGTTTGCCTCATATATGTAAGGCAATCAAAATATCAGAAGGATGGTTTATAGAAGGAAAAATATTCATCCCTGTGTGTAATTTATGAAATGTGCATGCATTGGTGTATTTGATGGATCTGCACCAAATGCTATGTTAGCAAGCATAAAGGTTTGGACAGAGACCACAAAATGATGGCAAGGGAGTGAAAATGCCAAGAGCATTGCTAAACAGCAAGCCTTAAAGGGCATATTGATTGATTAAGAGTACTTTGATACCAAATTAGATTTTGGTAAGAAATCATGATAGTATGTGATGCAAAAAGTTATTGGGGGAACCCGCCCCCAGTATTTCAATGTAGGTTCTTTCTATTTTCCTAAGTATCAGCCAGCTAAGAAATAAAGAGAGACAATATAAAGAGAGGAATTTTACAGCTGGGCTGCCAGGGGTGGCATCACATATCAGTAGGACCATGATGCCTGCCTGAGTCTCAGACCAGCAAGTTTTTATTAAAGGTTTCAAAAAAAGAGGGGGCGTAAGAACAAAGAGTACGTACAAAGATCACATGCTTCAAAGGGCAAAAAGCAGAACCACTGATAAGGGTCCAACAAAGATCACATGCTTCTGAGGGAACAGGGCAAAGGGCAAAAGCAGAACCACTGACAAAGGTCCGACAAAGATCACAAGGCAAAGGGCAAAAGCAGAACCACTGACAAGGGTCTATGTTCAGTGGTGCATGTATTGTCTTGATAAACATCTTAAACAACAGAAAACAGGGTTTGAGAGCAGAGAACCGGTCTGACCACAAATTTACCAGGATTGAGTTTTCCCAACCCTAGTAAGCCTGAGGGTTCTGCAGAAGACCAGGGCTTATCTCAGTCCTTATCGCAACTGCATAAGACAAACATTCCTAGAGCGGCCATTTATAGACCTCCCCCCACGAATGCATTCTTTTCCCAGGGTATTAATATTAATATTCTTGCTAGGAAAATAATTTAGCTATGTTTCCCACTTGCATGTCCATTTATAGGCTCTCTGCAAGAAGAAAAATATGACTCTTTTTGCCTGACCCCGCAGGCAGTCAGACCTTATGGTTGTCTTCCCTTGTTCCATAAAAATCTCTATTATTCTGTTCTTTTTCAAGGTGCACTGATTTCATATTGTTCAAACACGCATGTTTTACAATCAATTTGTACAGTTAACACAATTATCACAGTGGTCCTGAGGTGACGTGCATCCTCAGCTTACGAAGATAACAGGATTAAGAGATTAAAGACAGGCATAAGAAATTATGAAAGTATTATTTGAGAACCGATAAATGTCCCTATTAAGATGAAATCTTCACAATTTATGTTCCTCTGCCACAGCTCCAGACGGTCCCTCCGTTTGGGGTCCCTGGCTTCCCGTAACATCTCTCCCTTTCTTTTTATATAAATGTGCCATGGCAATGAAGCCTTGTTCGTTCTCTCGGTTTTGACACAAGATTCTTTGACTGGTCCAGAATACTAAAAACAAGCCGATTAAACAGAGAAACATGATTCCAAAATTTACTACAGTGGGCCCCCAATAGACTTAATCCAAGTCGTGGGGTTTAGTCCAGAAAGACTTTGTGCCACCTGCTCTAACGCCTCAGCTCCAGGCACAATGGATAAATGAGCTTGAGAGCCTTCAAATATTTGTTTCTTTAATTTAGTTATGTCCAAGGATAAATTATCTTCCCTACCCAGCAGGTGCCCTTTGACCATTTCCCATGAATGATCAGTCGATCAGTCGATCAGTCTCATTGTAGGAATATGGTGTGATACAGAAATCAGAAGTATTCCAATCACACTGCATTTGCATGCGACGTTCGAGACTCATTAGCCGATCTCCAAGCCAAATAACAGACTGTCTTAAATCATTAATTTGATTAGCTAATTTTTGATCAATGCCCTGTGAGAATTCCACATTTGGGTGGAACTGGCTTGCCAATCATTAACAAAATGAGCCATTTGAATAGATTGGTGTAATGCCACTCTGGCAGTGGTGGCCAGTGCAGTGACTGTAATTAGGCTCATGATCACAGTGATTAAAGTGAAAACAAATCTCTTAGATCTTTTGAGAATTTGTTGTAACCCTTCATTAATTAAATGTACTGAGGGGGAAGATTCCCAAGGTCTGGGTAAAGTTACCAGTATCCAGATTCCTTCTCAAGCTCGAACCAACATTACACTTTTCCTGAAGTCAAAATAGGAGTTAACACAAGTGTATAAATGACAATTAATGCATTGGACAGTTTGATTTTTCATCAAAATTTTGATATTTCCCACTAACAGCATGTAAGGAGGCTTAACACAACTCTGTATAGGAATAGTCAGGCTGGAGGTAAACAAAGCAGAATGTCTGAATCTATGTTGATACAGAGGGAGACGAGCAGCAGTGGCAACACTGGATGTTCTCCACCATAAAGAAGCAATCCAAGGTGCCCAGGATGCTGAAGAGGTAGAGGGGCATACCTGGGTCGAGAATTATTATCATAATGCCAATCGGAGTCCCATAAAGGAGGATGGGCATCAAAAAGAGGAAGAGGGTTCAAAGGGGATTTATCATGGGGTTCAGAATCACGGATGCGAGGGGCAGTAGTGGGGACAACAGACAGGAAAGTTTCCCCTTCTCATAATCATAGTCCAGACATGGCAATAGCCAATTTCCAAAGTTCTGGGTGTTCTGGGCTCAGAATGGGGAATATCATACGAGGCCTTGGCAGGGGTAGGGTAATGCCCTTCTCTTCCCATTTTAAGGGAAAGAACAAGCTGAACCTCCTATGCAAAGTAGGATGGTGATCCTCGTCCTCCCAATAAGAAATAAAATAAGTAGCCTCCAGGCATTCCCTTCTGCCAGAGGAGCAATTGCTTTTTAAATAGTCCTTTGGTGCCCAGTCTATTATTAAACCATATGAGTCATTTTTTAATCCTACTGCATGTGAGTTAACACAATCTTCCCAAATTAAACTTTTAGATAAGGCCCTCAAAATTTTTAGGACATGGTTTTCCCACAGGTTTATATCGAAAGTATGGGGTATCTCCTATTACTCCCCCTTTCATTTGTCTTAAAGGAGAAAGGGAGAGGCCAGAGACCAAATGTCTCCATTCCCCTGTGGCTGATCTCTTCAGAAGGTAAGCAGCCCAGACTTGAGTTTCTAGATGGATACAACCAGGTGCATGTCCGAGGCACAGAAGAAGGTATTTATAACCCATAGTAACATTAATTGCAGTGCCTTCTTCTCCTGGTTGAGCAGGGCAATGGTCATCTGTAGCTCCAGGCATCCACACACTATCATTAGTATAGATCTCTGCAGGAGCATCCATCTAGGTGAGAGGTCGAATAAGTGGAGGAAAAGGCACATAAGCCCAATAAGAATAATAATTTACCAGGGCTGAGTTTCCCCAACCCTAGTAAGCCTGAGGGTTCTGCAGAAGACCAGGGCTTATCTCAGTCCTTATCACAACTGCACAAGACAGATATTCCCAGAGTGGCCATTTATAGGCCTTCCCCCAGGAATGCATTCTTTTCCCAGAGTATTAATATTAATATTCCTTGCTAGGAAAAGAATTTAGCAATATGTTTCCTACTTGCATGTCCATTTTATAGGCTCTCTGCAAGAAGAAAAATATAGCTCTTTTTGCCTGACCCTGCAGGCAGTCAGACCTTATGGTTGTCTTCCCTTGTTCCATAAAAATCACTATTATTCTGTTCTTTTTCAAGGTGCACTGATTTCATATTGTTCAAACACACGTTTTACAATCAATTTGTACAGTTAACACAATTATCACAGTGGTCCTGAGGTGATGTACATTCTCAGCTTACGAAGATAACAGGATTAAAAGATTAAAGTAAAGACAGGCATAAGAAATTATAAAAGTATTATTTGAGAACTGATAAATGTCCATATTAAGATGAAATCTTCACAATTTATGTTCCTCTGCTGCTGCTCCAGCCAGTACCTCTGTTCGGGGTCCCTGACTTCCCGTAACAAAAAGTACCAGACCAAGACACAGGAGATTTCTTTGGGCTTCTGTTTCTTGCAAAGTCAAAGACAAAGACCAAAAAAAATTTTTTTCAGAGGCAGGGTCTTGCTCTGTCACCCAAACCGGAGTGCAATGGCACCATCAGATCTCACTACAGCCTTATCCTCCTGGGCTCAAGTGATCCTCCCATCTTAGCCTCCCAAGTAGCTGAGACTTGTTTCCAGACTATATAAACAACTCCTCCAACTCAGTAATAAGAAGACAACCCAATTAGAAAATAGGGGAAAAGATCTGAATAAATACTTCACAAAATAAGACATATGATGGGCTAAGGAGCTCATGAAAAAAATGCTCAACATCATTAGTCATTAGGAAAATGCAAATTAAAACCACAATGAGATACTTTCCACAGTCACTAGAATTGCCATTACAAGTGCTGACAAGGATGTGGAGAAACTGGAACCTTCATATATTGCAGTGGGAATGTAATATGATGCAGTCACTTGAAACAGCCTGGCAACTTAAGTGAAAAACACCATAAGACCTAGCAATTCCATGTCTACGTATCTAACCAAGAGAAATGAAAGTGTATGTTCACACAAAGATTTGCATGTGAATGTTCATAGCAGCCAAAACTTAGAAATAATGCAAATGTCCCTGAACTAGTGAATGGATGTGTAAACTGTGGTATATCCATACAATAGAATACTACAGAAATCAAAAGGAATAAACTACAGATGCATCCAGTATCATGATGAACCTCGAAAACATGTTAAGTGAAAGGCAAACATGAAAGAGTACATATTGAATGATTCCGTTAATATGAAATTTGAAGAAAAGACAACTATGGAGACACAAGTTGGTCAGTGTTTGTTTGGCACTGGGTAAAGAAGTCGGGTTTTGTGCAAACATGCACAAGAAAAGTTTTCGGGGTGATGGAAGCATTCTAAAACTAGATTGTGCTGATGATTGCAAAGCTCTAAATTTACCAAGAATCACTTTATAAATCACTCACAATGGGCAGACTTCATGGTATGGAAATTATACCTCAATATAGCTTTTAAAATACTGTCTAAAAGAATAAATTTCTCTAGAATTTTTACATAAAACATTGGCCGAGCTACTAGAAATAAAGCACTGTTTTATTTAGAAAGTAATATCCTGCAGAAAGCTTCTCTGAATATCCCATGGAGATGATGTAATGAATCATGTGAATATGCAGAAGAAAGATGAGCGTTTACCAAAAGGAGTTAATAGGTTTGATTTTTTAAAAAAGAGTTTCAAGATCAAGTAAGTATGAGTAACAGAGGAATAAACAAAGGTAACTAGGTTTCATTACTTTAGGGTTTCCTAGAGTTTTAAAATATTTCATTGTGTCTAATGACTCCAGGAAAATATGTAAATTTCAGACCTTTCCTGATTTGTTTTTCACAAAAAGTGGTATAACACAAGACATATTTTGATATATGAAAAACACAGTGCAGTGCAGAGGTAGAATGCCAAATAGAATACTGACGAGAATTACCCAGTAACTTGTTAATTTCTTTGACTTCATTTGGCTAACATCTCCAGGTTCACAGCTTGAGAGAGATGTCAAGTGTTTCCCACCACAGAGGCAGTTTACTGGTTTGTTGCTCAAACCAAAAGTTTGGAGTTCTATTTTATGACTTTCTTTCAAACCCTACACTCAACATGTACATCCATCAGCACATCTAGTTGGCTCTACCTTTAAAATAGAATCTGACCTCTCTCACAGTGCCCAAGATACAACCCTGTATTAGTTTTCTATTGCTGCCTAATGGTATACCCCAAAACTTAGTTGCTTAAACCACAATAAACGTCTGTTGTCAGTTTCTGTGGGTTGGAAATCAGGAACACCTTGGCTGAGCAGTCTGGCTCAGAATCTCTAATGAAATTGCAGTCAAGTTGTCAGCCAGGGCTGTAGTCATCTGAATGCCTAACTGGTGCTGGAGTATCTTCCGAGGTTGCTCGTGCACATGGCTGGCATGCTGTGCTGCCTTTTGGTGGGAGGCTTCAATGTCTCCCCATATGGGCCTCTTTGAAGGCCTTCTTGAGCATCCTATCCTTACCAGCATAAGTGACTGACTGAGCTGCAGTGTCTTTTATGACCTAGTCTTGGAAGTTATACCCTGTTCTGTTGGTCCCACAGATCAGCCATGATTCAGGGAGGTTGGACATAAATACAGAAGAAAATCATGGGGAGTCATCTTGGAGGCTGGCTACCACACTACCACCACCTCTTACCTGGATTATTGCAATCACTTAACATTCTTTTTTTCTTTTTTGAGACAGAGTCTCACTCTGTCACCCATGCTGCAGTGCAGTGGCACAATCTCGGCTCACTGCAACCTCCGTCTCCTGGACTCAAGCGATTTTCTTGCCTCAGCCTCCCAAGTAGCTGGGATTATAGGCGCACACCACCACGCCTGGCTAATTTTTGTATTTTTAGTAAAGGCAGGGTTTCATCATGTTGGCCAGGCTGGTCTCGATCTCCTGACCTCAAGTGATCCACCTGCCTTGGCCTCCCAGACTGGTGGGATTACAGGTGTGAGCCACCATGCCTGGCTGTAATCACTCAACATGCTTGTTTCTGTCTCCCTGATGTCTATCCTAGACATAGCAGCCAGCAACCCTCTTATATCATATTGTGTTGCTCCTCTCTTGAAAACCCTGTAATAGCTTCCTTTAGTGAAGGAAAAGCCAGCCTTTACCGTGGTTCCAAGGCCTTACATCATCTGGCCCCAACTACCTTTCTGATTAATCTCTTTTCACTCACTCTACTCCAGCACAAATATTATGCCTCAAATGCACTCAGCAGGCTTCTGCCCAAGGGACCTTGCGCTGGCTTTTTCCTCTGCCTTAGATAATTACCCTGAAGATAATCCATGGCTAGTTCATTCAGACCTCTCTTCAAGTATCAGCTGCTCAGAGAGGCCTTTTCTGACCATCACATATAAAATGAAACAGCACACCTGCCATTTCCAGTTTATGGCACTTAACGCTTATTTCCTGTTTCCTCCACTAGTATATAAGCTCAACAAGAGCAAGGGGTATGTTTTGTTTTTGCTGAAGTCTTAGGATCTAGAATAGTGCCTGACCCATGGGAGACACTGAAAACATTTCTTTAATGACTAAATAGGTGGGTTAATGAAAGTGGCTGTTAATTCCAGTTCTGCCTACAAAAGCGCTCTCTTCACACTGAATTATGTATATGAGAGAGAAGAGAAAGGAAGGAAGAAGAAACGGGCATACGGGTAGATAGTTGTCAGCAAATGGAGCTAGTCATAAGTGAGTTAAAAAAGGAGGCAAAGGGGGCAGGAAAATAACATGAGATTAAGTAGATCATTTGGATTTGTAAGTCTGTGAACTCCAAAATAGGCACAGGTTTATTCAAAGGAAGAAAATTATGTTCAATTAATTACACAAACTCAGGGAAAAAAGAAAAGTTTATCCAGGAGTTAAAAGAAGCATACAAGCATACTGTAGTTAAAAATATTAAAAGACCAAGAAAAGATATATTGATGCTCACGGAACTACGGTGGAAGCTTACTGGGGCATGCCTTGCGCATGGGATGAATGTTTTGAGGCAGCACTTGATGGGTGGACAGGACCTCCTGGACCTTGTCCAAACACATCTTGTTTGCTGCTACACCTGCTTCAAACTCTCGGCGTTTCTCTTCCTTCTCTGCTTCTTGGGACTGCTGCTGGTAGGCGATTTGCATCTGAAGTTGCTTCCTGTACTCCTGGGCTAAACGTTGGCGTCTAAAGTATTAGAAATGTCAAAGCATAAAATTATAAAAGTAAGCATTTAGATTTATTCAGAGCATTACAATTAAAATATAATTTGTAAAGTCAAATTAAATTCCCATTAAAATCAGGGTGAGTGGAGAAGAAATAGATGAAAAACTCAATAATGGGTTTCTTACATAATAATCATTAATATAATCCTAGGACAAATATTGATTTTAGAGAGGAAATGCTTCTTCCCTGCTCGTAATGTTCACTGCTATGTGGTAATGGTCCTTGGTTTGCCTCCATCCCTTCCCTTACTCTTCTCTATGGGTAAAATTGGAGAGGATAAGCAAACTGCTCAATTCAACTTTTCTCCTTTTTTTTTTTTTTTTTTTTTTGAGACGGAGTCTCGCTCTGTCACCCAGGCTGGAGTGCAGTTGCGTGATCTCAGCTCACTGCAACCTTCGCCTCCTGGGTTCAAGCAATTCTCTGCCTCAGCCACCCAAGCAGCTGGGATTGCAGGCGTCCGCCACCACACCTGGCTAATTTTTGTATTTTTAGTAGAGATGAGGTTTCATCATTTTGGCCAGGCTGGTCTCAAACTCCTGACCTCAAGTGATCTGCCCGCCTCAGCCTCCCAAAGTGCTGGGATTACAGGCGTGAGCCACCACACCTGGCCAGCTTTTCCCCTTTCATCTCGGAGGCTGCTCCGCCTGTTTTCTGCTCTGCTGTAGATCAAAGGGCCACATCCCCGCACAAGAGGCCTGCAGTGATCTCATGCTGCTGGGGACTGGGTGGGTAAGTTAGCCTTATCTTATCATTCTGTTCAGTATTAACTAGATAATTTCTTGCATAAATAAGCCACATTTTAAATATATGACAGTTTTTTTATTTATAGTATAATTTTTATTGTAATAAAAAACACATTATGATGGGCATGGTGGCTCATGCATGTAATCCCAGCACTTGGGAGGCTGAGGTTGGGTGGATCACCTGAGGTCAGGAGTTCGAGACCAGCCTGACCAACATGGAGAAACTCCGTCTCTACTAAAAATACAAAATTTAGCTGGGCATGGTGGTACATGCCTGTAATCCCAGCTACTCAGGAGGCTGAGGCAGGAGAATCACTTGAACCCAGGAGGCGGAGGTTGCAGTGAGCCAAGACTGCGCCATTGCACTCCAGCCTGGGTAACAAGAGTCAAACTCCATCTCAAAAACAAACAAACAAACAAAAAACAAAACAAAAAAATTTACATAGGTCATACACCTAATAATCCCAGCACCTTAGGAGCCCAAGACAGGAGGATCACAGGAGTTTGAGACCAGCCTGGGCAACATAGGGAGACCTGATCTGTACAAAAAAATAAAAAACTAGCCAGGCATGGTGGCATGTGCCTGTGGTCCCAGCTGAAGTGGGTGGATTTTCTGAGCCCAGAAGGTTGAGGTTTCAGTGAGCCATGATCACACTACTGCACCCCAGCCTGGGCAACAGAGCAAGACCTTGTCAAAAAACAAAAACAAAAACAAACAAACAAAACCCACATAACAAATTTACATCTTAACCATTTTTAAGTGTACAGTTCAGTAGTTAAGTCTCCATATTGCTGTAAAAGAGATCTCCAGGACTTCTTCATCTTGCAAATCTGAAACTCCCTCCCCTCTTTTCTCCCCACAACCCCTGGTAACCACCATTCTACTTTATGTTTCTATAAATCTGACTACTTTATATGTCTCATAAAAGTAGAATCATACAGTATTTGTCTTTTTGTGATTGGCTTATTTCACTTAGCATAATGTCCTCCAGGTTCATCCATACTGTGGCATGTGACAGGATTTCCTTGCTTTTTAAGGCTGAAAAATATTCCATCATAAATATATACCATGTTTTGTTTATCTATTCATTTCATTAATAGACCCTTGGGTTGCTTCTACCTCTTGAATACTGTGAATAGTGCTATGAATATTTCTGTGCAAATATCTCTTCAAGACCCTGCTTTTAATTTTTTGGACATATACCCAGAAGTGGGTTGCCAGATTATGTAGTAGTTTTAATATTTATTTTTTGGAGGAAACTCCATACTGTTTTCCATAATGGTTATATAATTTTACAATTTATAAGCCACATTTTTTTCTTTGTAGTCTCTTTCTTTTTTTCTTTTTCTTTTTTTTTTTTTCAGACAGGGTCTCACTCTTGTCACCCAGGCTGGAGTACACTACTGGCACAATCACACAATCATGGCTCACTGCAGCTTCAACCTCCCAGGTTCAGGTGATCCTCCCACCTCAGCATCCCAGGTATTTGGGACTATAGGTGCACACAACCACACCCAGCTAATTTTTTTGTTGTTGTTGTATTTTTTTAGAGACAGAGTTACACCATGTTGCACAGGCCGGTCTCAAACTCCTGGGTTCAAGAGATCCACTCACCTTGGCCTCCCAAAGTGGTGGGATTACAGGCATGACCCACCATGCCTGGCCTCTTTGTAGTTTCAATGGCTAGAAATATAAGCCACATTTTTAATATCAGCTGTGGTATAATAAGAATTATATTTGATCTTTGTTCCTAGTTCTTGGCACAGAGCTCCTACAACTCTTGTAATTTCCTGAGTGATAAAAGTATCTTTTGTAATTCATAGGAACACCCAATTTTATGCTAATAAGCTGACTTAGGGTAGGGCCCCTGGGTGGCCTCAGGATGGGGTTGGTCACTAGAAAGACCAAGTGATGAGGGGGTTAGGACTTTCAGCCCCACCCACTGACCTCTTGGGAGGGGAAGGTGGGGGCTGGAGATGAAGCTCTAAAAACTCTTGAACAAGGATGTTCTGAGGGCATCTGTGATGGTGACACAGGGAGGTGCTGAAAGGATGGTGCACCCGCAGAGAGCACGGAAGCCCCTATGCATCTCTTCCAGTTGGCTGTTCCTGAGTTGTGTCCATTGTGATAAACTGGTAAACACAAGTCAAATGTGTTCCTGATTTCTCTGAGCAATTCTAGCAAACTGTTGAACCTGAGGAGGAGGTCGTGGGAACCCCCAATTTATAGCTGGTTGATCAGAAGGTGGTCTGGGACTAGCATCTGGTGTCTGAAGTGGCAGCAGTTCTGTGGGACTAAGCCCTTACCCTGAGGGGTCTATACTAACTCTGGGTAGTTACTATCAGAACTGAATTGAATTCTTGGACACCCAGTTGGGGTCTGGAGAATCAGAGAATTTGTTGTTGGGGTCAGAAAACACTCCATCAACTTTTATCAGAAATAAAGATAATAGAATTTTATCAGAAATAAAGATAATGTGGATACCCCTCTATGGCAGATTCTATTTTCCAAAGATGGCCACAGTACTGTCTCCCTCCCCATATGTGTATCCTATTTAGGGAAAAGGAATCAGGCTGGCGGAACCAGGATAAAGCAAAGAGATAAAGCAGTAAGCTATAGGTCTGCCTTTGTTCATGGCCCAGGACATACAGCCCTCCTGTGCAGATAACATACAAAACTCACAAACTTCTGCTTAACATCAAATGCTTCGATTTATCATCAAACACCTCGGCTGACAGAAGAATGCAAGTTAGCTCCCTGCTACCTTGGTGTTATCAAGTAGCCCAAGAACCATCCTATAAAATCTCTGGCAAGCCTTTGTTTCCTGGCAGTCAGCTCCTCTCTTGCTGGCTGCCCATTGCTTTCTTGCACTGAGTTTTCCTACTTTCTCTAATAAATCTGCCTTTCTTTACCTACAACTGTCTTGGTAAATTCTTTTACCCCTGCACCACTGACCCAGATAGTCACTGCTCACCCACATTTTGGTAGCCTGTATGGGAAACTCTCTCCTTATGAGGAAGCCTCTGGCCTCTCTCTTTCCCTTTCCCAACTTAGGAACCTCAGTGGACAGTATCTACCCAGAGAGACAATTGTAGGTCTCTAGCTGGAGCTACCTACACTCCTGTGGGACTGAAAGGTATCCGTGTGGAAGCATCTAACTACCACCTGTTCAGGTGAGGGACCTGAGTTTACTTTCTCTTTTCAGCCTTTCAGCAGCTGGCTTTTAGTATCTCTTTGGCAACTGACAGTAACCAGCTGTGGCTACTATCCGGTGTTGCCTGAAGGCCAAATAGCCACCTGGCCTGGAAGAGAGGAAGGCTTCCTCCTATACTCTCTGGTCAGAAGTCCCTAATCCCTACGTGTGATGCGACTGGCAGCAGAAGCTCATTCAGAGCAAATTCACACATTTTGGGTGACTCAGACACTCTTTCTCACTCTGAATCCTCCTGTGGAGTCAGCCAGCCATTCTGTCCCAGATGTTGCTAAATCAGGTGATCTCAGACAGCCTCAGAACCATGAGTTTTCCCTTACCCACCCCCTCTCCTGGGCCAACACAGGCAGAGTCCTCCCTTCACCCATTTTCCTTGTACCTGGACTGGCCATCCAGCATAAGGCCCCTGAGTGGCCGAGGGGACTTTCTTAATAGGTGGGACACCCCTTTAGAAAGTGCACCCCAAGTTCCTCAGTAGACCTAAGTGGAACTGCTTTTCATCTCGGCTGGACATCCTGAGAGAAAGTGCAGTTTGTGCCCCTGAGTTGCACCATCCCCAAGCAGCATGTTTTCTAGTCCCACCATGGGACAAACCCCATCTATTCCTTCAGACTCACTTCTGGGTTGTATCCTAAAACATTAAGACAAATTTAACTCTCAAACCCTCAAAAAGAAATGTCTAATTTATTGTGTAACACAGCATGGCCCCTATGTAGAAAACCATCAAATTAGCCTCCTGAGTCCTTTACAACTGACAGCAGAATAAGGAGGACAGGGCTAAGAAGAAAGAAAAATGCAGAGGCAAGAGACAGGCTCAACTGTTGGCTGCTTTACAAGCCCCAGCCCCTCCAGGTTTCCCTAAAAATACATTCCTTCAGATAACTGCCATCAGTGCAAAACGCCAGGTTACTGAAAGGCAGAGTGCCCCAGTGGAATAAATTTTAAAAGCCCTGCCTGGCTTACTCTCTCTGCCACAAGCTCAGCCACTGGAAAAAAGACTGCCCTGATGATCAAAGGGCCCCCAGGACAGAATCTCAACCCCTAATGGCCTTATGCTAAATAGGCTCTCTGCTCTGTCTGGAAACAGCTCACCTTAACTGATAACTTGCAAAGTTGGGAAGAATTTATCCCACACCTTGTAGGTCTGGGGTGCTAATGCTCTCCCTGGCGGGAGATAAACAAAAGTGGCAGGGGTACTGACCTTGCACTGTGCAGTGGCTGGAAGGCTCACAAGCCCTCCTGTAAAGCCTGACCTTTTCCTCTCCATTCCTTCCTTTTCTTTTTCTCTTTTTCTGTTCAATCCAGGGGTCCAGCCTTAAAAGGGAAAGACAGTTTCTAACATCCTAACCCCTGATTTTGTCATTCTCTTTAAAACTCCAGCTGGTTACATATTATGGTACATTTTAAACTAACGGGCAAACTACAACAAGAAAAAGTCAGAGCTCAAATGGTTAACCTGCACTATAAAGTTAAGTGAAGTCTTCTATAGCTCTCTATCTTCCTTTTTTTCTGCCTGCTTTAAATCTGCTGTTACTAAGGTCCTGGTGCTGAGATAAAACTCATTCTTTGTGGTCTAATTAGAATGCAAACATCGAAAACTCATTTAAAGTTAAAGAAAAAAAGGTAAAAGAGGTTTTGTTCAAACAACCCAGAATTTTTAAACCTCCCTTAAAAATAAAAAATAAATAAATAAATCCAACACCTCCTTTAGACCTTACTCTTAAGGCTGACTCTTTTTATCCAATTCTACTACAGGCTTTCAGTAATTATCCAACTGCCTCACTTAAGCAGCGTCACCCTCTTAATATTGATGCTTTTATAAGGGAGGTAGTTTACGACTGCTATTTGCAAGCGGACTTCCAAGATTACCACCCAGATGAATTTTTTTGTATATTTGTCCTAGTAATGTCATTTACCCCCACACCACATCAGTGTGCTAAGGTACTAGGTGTTTGGTTAACTGTTTTTCTCATATTCTTTACAGCCCTTCTTCTCGCCTGTCTCCCTGAGTTTACTACATATTGTCATTTTCCTTAAAAATGGCTTTGTTTTTATTCTATCACGGCTATTGCCTCCATGGCTGGAGCCAGGCACTTACTCCTCCCAGTAATATTTCAGGTTGCTAACATAACACACAGCACTAACTTCTGGATATGCCCATGCGGACAGGCACTCAAAGATAACATTATATCCTAGCAGTCCCGCTATCCATAGAAGAAATTACTAACAAGCCTGATACTCTGGATTCAACTACACCATTTACACACACACCAAAAACACAGGTTTAGGAGGGGAGCCTAGGCCAATTGATTCCTCATGGCAATCATCCACTGTGACGGAGCAGATTGGGAAGGCACCAGAGATGGCCTGTAAGGTTCACCTCTGCATCAGAAAATCCGAGGGATCTGGCCCTTTTATAGGCACTTGTAAGGCTCACCTCTGCATCAGAAACTCCAAAGGGTCTGGCCCTTTCCTAGGGTGTTTAACATAAGCCCATTGTAATTACACCCTCAACTATAATCAAACACACCAGGAATGGAAGCTATATGACAACAATGACAAGTTCACTGTGTACCTCTGCAGGTTTTCTCTATGGTGGGGAAACAACAAAGTTAATGCCAGCAAAATTTATAGTGATCCTTTTATGCCTATAAACAGTTCAGCTACTGGGATAGAATATATAGGAATAGGGGTTGAGATTGGACAACTTCTCAACCTCACTAATACATCTACAACTTTCTCTTGATTTTCCGTTATCTCATTAATGTTTAAAACTCTTATCTGCCAGGCCCCACATTCATATAACACAAGTAAAACTTTCCTCCCTTATGCATGAATGACTACTTTCTAGGTCACCACCCAGCCACATTTGATCCCTGGGGACCATGGGATCCCTCTATTTATGCAAATTATACTGGAATCCAAACTAACCACACCTATGCCTGGTTACAAGGTCCCTCCTCAGGAGTTTCTTTAAAAGGAACTGGGCTCTTCTTTTTGTGTGGATCCAACATTTTTCCAGCCTTGCCTATTAAATGGAGAGGACGTGCACTATAGTTGCAGCAATACCTGGAGTACATATATATAACTCCTTAGACTTTATAACCTCTGGCCAAGTTCCAAATTTGTGATCCTTCCTAAGTTGGGCCCTTCAAAGGCCATCAGAAGAAAGGAAACAGAAACGGGATTTAATCAACCTTCCATCATTTGGCATCCTCACCACTGATGATCTCATTATAGAGAGGAATGGTCTAGGACATTCTGTTGCCCATGCAGTCTTTTGGTTTGCAGGTATACCCATGCTTGAGTGCAGCATTTGTAATATCACCATCTTAGTCCAGCAATCTTGAGAAGCTAAAGTCATGGCCATCAAGGCCCAATAACAGGTCCTAAATTCATTGGCAGGGGTTGTCTTGCAAAACTGATGTGCTGTGGATGTGCTTAACGCTGAGGCAGGAGGCACCTGCATGCTGTTAAATGAAACTTGTTGCTCTTACATCAATACCTCAGGTCAGGTAGCAAAAAACTTTAGAAAAGATAAAAGAAGACATCAAAGTATTAGAGGGCCCTCAAAAAGGAGTTCCTGAAGATTCCTTTCTGGCACAGCTATTTCAAAGCTTCTCCAGCTGGGTTTGGCTATGGGTTGCCCTACTTCTCCCATCTATAATAAAGCTCATATTGGCTGGGTGCGGTGGCTCACACCTGTAATCCCAGCACTTTGGGAGGCTGAGGCAGGTGGATCACCTAAGGTCAGGAGTTTGAGACCAGCCTGGCCAATATGGTGAAACCCTGTCTCTACTAAAAATTACAAAAATTAGCTGGGCGTGGTGGCATGCGCCTGTAACCCCAGCTACTTGGGAGGCTGAGGCAGGAGAATCACTTGAACCTGGGGAGGCAGAGGTTGCAGTGAGCTGGGATCACGCCACTGCATTCCAGCCTTGACAAGAGCGAAATTCTGTCTCAAAAAATAATAATAACAGTAAGATTCATATTACTTTATCTGTGCCATGTATTGTTAATGCAGTATCTTGTTTTGTGATTTCTAGAATACAACAATTTCAAACCAAAATGTTACTGCAGTGAGGGTATCAGCCACTTAGAGAACTCCATGACTCTCCTTTGGATGCAACAGGACAATATTTTAGGCTGCAAATGCTGTTCCCCCATGGTCCCACAGCCACCCTGCCCAATTTAATTCCCAACCCAAGGATTTAGGTCCATGTAACCTCCTGACCAACTAACAATCCTAGGTCGGGCAAACTATACACCCCTGGTGGGCAAGAAGCAGTTGGAAGATGAGACCTTCATCCACATGCCAAAGATTTGTCATTGTTGCTCTGTTGGGGGAAATGTAGAATCCTATTTAGGTAAAAGGAGTCAGGCTGGTGGAACCAGGATAAAGCAGAGATAAAGCAGTAAGCTATAGGTCTGCCTTTGTTCATGGCCCAGGACATACAGCCCTCCTGTGCAGATAACATACAAAACTCACAAACTTCTGCTTAACATCAAATGTTTCGATTTATCATCAAACACCTCGGCTGACAGAAGAATGCAAGTCAGCTCCCTGCTACCTTGGTGTTATCAAGTAGCCCAAGAACCATCCTATAAAATCTCTGGCAAGCCTTTGTTTCCTGGCAGTCAGCTCCTCTCTTGCTGGCTGCCCATTGCTTTCTTGCACTGAGTTTTCCTACTTTCTCTAGTTAATCTGCCTGTACCTACAACTGTCTTGGTAAATTCTTTTACCCCCATGCCACCAGCCTAGTTATGCGCTTCAGCAATGCAAACCTCTACTACCCTGTCAAGAGGTGGAGCTTCTATCTCCATCTCCTTGAATCAGGATGGGCCTTGTAACTACTTTTGGAATATGGTAGAAGTAATGCTATGCCAGTCCCAGGTGTAGCTCTTAACTGGCCTGGCAGCTGCTTCTTCCTAGCTCTTGGAATACTTGCTATTGGAACTCTCCCTCTCAAAACAAGCCACCATACTGTGAGAAATCCAAATCACATGGAGAGCCCACACATAGGGGTTCCAGGTGACAACTAAAACTCCTAGTTGATAACTGAGATCCCTGACTACAGTCAGCATACACTGCCAGCTATATGAGTAGGTGTCCTAGGTTGAGCCTTCAGATGAATATATAGCCTCAGTCATGTGGATCTGACTTCAATGACATGAGATGTTCCGAGCAAGAACTACCTAGGTGAGCCGTGTTGACCCACAGAATCATAAGAGATAATCATAAATTGCTTTAAACCACACATTTCAGGGTGTTTTGTTATGTAGCAATAGGTAACTGTAATACCTCTGCCCATAATTTCTTCCTTATCTCTCCACCAATTCAGAAGTTTAGCAGGGAAGAGATGTGATATTTATTGAGTCCTCACAAATCTCCAACAGAAGACTTTTTAAAAATGAGAAAGAGGCCAGGCGCAGTGGCTCACGCCTGTAATCCCAGCACTTTGGGAGTCCGAGGTGGGTGGATCACGAGGTCAGGAGTTCAAGACCAGCCTGGCTAAGGTGGTGAAACCCTGTCTCTACTAAAAATAATAAAAATTAGCCAGGCATGGTGGTGCATGCCTGTAATCCTAGGTATTTGAGTGGCTGAGGCAGAGAATTGCTTGAACCCGGGAGTCGGAGATTGCAGTAAGCCAAGATTACACCACCGCACTCCAGCCTAGGTGACAGAGCAAGACTCCATCTCAAAAAAAAAAAAAAAAAAAAAAAAAATATATATATATATATATATATACGCACACATATATATACACACACACACACACATACACACACACACACACACATATATATATATATGAGAAGGAAAGATTTCCACAGCAGAGGCAGTAGCAGGAACTCAGAACGGTAGGCCAGATGTTGTTGTTTGTGACCCCAAAGTGAGAATAAGATCAGGCACATTAACCATACTCTTTCTAGAAAGAGAAGAGCTAATTTCTATGCACCAAGTGTGAGTAAGTCAAAGGACAGGCCCCAGGAACAGGGAGGGTGACCAGTAATCAGAGAAGCCGGGTCCTCTTCCTCCACTACACTGGCTGCCTGATTTAGGTATCATGGCCACCAGTGGGAAGAGACTGAGATGGTATAAGAAAAACTGCAGGGAGGTAGCTGCCTGTTTCCCCCACCTGAGCCTGGTTGTGGTGATCAGAAGGACACTAACCAATCCCCAGCCTAAGGCCTGTCAGAGGAAAGCAGTGGTATTTCCCAAAGCATCCAGAGTGTTCTAGTGCAGTAAGGCTAAACACGTCCTCCTAGGGACATTTGTATGGAATCCTGTCCCTATAAGCCATTCTGCTAATCTAGCTGATTAGGCCAGCCTGCTTTTCAGGATTTGTTTCATGGAGGAAAAAAAATCTTCTTGCTATTTTATTAGGATTTAAGGTTGGTGCCAATTTTTTTAAGTGTTTCAAATTTATTTTATTTTTAAAGATATTCATCCAGCCTAATAACTTATGTGTATAATCATAATATACATAATGGCAATGGAATTTAATTTTACCAAGACAGTTGGTGCCTACTTTTACATGAAATTTTGTAAACTGCTTTGAGCGTCTAGAAGGACAAGTGTAATACTAATGTAAAATAATGTCAATAATGCATGAATTATGGCACATGGTCTTTATGTTGAAAATCTGTTTTAGTTTTTGTTTTTTTGAGACAGTTCTTGCCTGTTGCCCAGGTTGGAGTGTAGTGGCACAATCATAGCTGCAGTGTTTAACTCCTGTACTCAAGTGATCTTCCACTTCAGCTCCCAAGTAGCTAGGACTACAGGTCTATGTCACCATATCTGGCTAGTTTTTATTTTTATTTTTTTGTAGAGATGAGATCTTGCTATACTGCCCAGGCTAATCTCAAACTCCTGGCTTCAAGCAATCCTCTTTCCTCAGCCTCCCAAAGTACTGGGATTACAGGTGTGAGCCACCATGGCTAGCCAAAAATCCATTTTTTAGGTAGCAAATGATGATACAGAAAACAAAATCATACCTTGCAAAATTCTCCTTCTCTTCACAGTTAAGTTCTTTAAGACTTTCATTTATGTGTTTCTGTTCCATAGCACGTTCTTCCTGTTCTTTAGCTTCTCGTTGCACTAAGAAAAGCAAAAGTAATTATATGTCAAATGACTTTCAGACAAGAATTGCCAACATCTTTCTGGGCACCAGAGTCATATTGTCTTTAGAAAGGCAGAGCTTAGAATCAAGGCTGGATCTTAGATTGATAAAGTAGAAGTACACATCTCAATTGAGAAATAAATTGGGTTTAGGCTCATATATGCTACAATCTAGATTTTCTGTTCATCATTTTTCATTGAAAATCTATAATTACCCTTTTTCATACCAGATTACTAATGTTAAAATACTTCCTACTTTTCTCTCCTTGAAGACAAACAGTTCATTGCCATTCATATTAATAAAAGTTTATTATAAATAATTTATTATTTATTATATATTTATTATAAAATAAATATTATTTAAATATATAAAGCTCTTGGCTGGGCACAATGCCTCATGCCGGTAATCCCAGCATTTTGGGAGGCTGAGGCAGGTGGGTCACCTGAGGTCAGGAGTTCGAGACCAGCCCGGCCAACATGGTGAAACCCCGTCTCTACTAAAAGTACAAAAATTAGCTGGGCATGGTGGTGCGTGCCTGTAATCTGAGCTGCTCAGAAGGCTGAGGCACAAGTGCCTAGATCGTGCCACTGCATTCCAGCCTGGGCAACAGAGTGAGACGCCGTCTCAATAAATAAATAAATAAATAAATAAAGCTCTTGTAAGTTAAAAATATTTAAGCATCCCAATAGAAAAAAAAGACAAAGGAAACAGAGTTTACAAAATAATAAATACAACTGGCTAATATACATCTGAAATGTATATATCTTTGGTACCACAGTCTATTTCAGAAATTCATCTTAAACAACCAGTTACAATCCAAAAATAAGTATGTATGGAGATGGTAATCTGGAATTCTAAAATAACAGTAAAAAGATTAGAAACAATATAAAGAGTCATTGCTGTGTTTAAGTAAAATAAGTTACGGTCTGTTTTTATAACAGATTTGTAGGCAGTCATTACAAATCTTATAATTGACAAAAAATGACTTAAAAATATTTTTGATAAGTGAAAAATATAGACCATAAAACAGTATATACTACATGATTCTAATTTGTGAAAGAAAATTATATATGTAGTAAAAATACTAGAAGAAAATACACAAAGCTGTGAATAGTAGCTATTCCTGGGTGGTAGAATTATGGTTGATTTTGTTTCCTTGTTTATAAATGGTCTCAATAAATTTTCCATGTTTTTTCAATATTTTCTATAACATTTATCACTTGTTAGATATGAGTTCTAAATTTATCTTCAAAGAATCAATATGTCAGTATGTTCAATTCTTTGCCTTCTACTTTTAAACTTAACTTCCTCATAAAGTGACCTTTTTTGATCAACTGCTCCACCCTGACTCATTCAGATTACCTGCTCCACCCTGACTCATTCAAATTACCTGCTCCACTCTGACTCATTCTGATCATCTGCCCCACCCTGACTCATTCAAATTACCTGCCCCACCCTGACTCATTCAGATTACCTGCTCCACCCTGACTCATTCTGATCACCTGCCCCACCCTGACTCATTCTGATCACCTACCCCACCCTGATTCATTCAGATTACCTGCTCCACCCTAACTCATTCTGATTACCTGCTCCACCCTGACTCATTCCAATTACCTGCTCTGCCCTCATTCTCTACCCTGACTCATTCCATAACCATTTTTCCTGCCAAACCACTCACCCCATCACTCTCTTTAAATTAGCCAATCAGAATTAGTTTAGCCTGTGCAGTCCAATCCTAGCCAATAGCGGAATGACACAGCAGCAGGGGCCACGTGAGTCAGGAATAAGAACTTCTTCCCCTCCCTTGCCCAGATGTGCTCTCGCTATTGTTCCATCTGTGACTGAGCACCCTTTCTGCAGGAAGTAAAGATGGTCTTGCTGAGAGATCATCTCTCTCTGTGCTGACTTTTCCTCGTGGCACTGATTGTCTATTTCTAACATCACTGACGAATATAAAAATCTTTTCAGCATATAAACTTTCTACGCAGTTTCTAAAAGTTCCATCTAATATTGGCTTAACAATTTTCTACTGCTATTGTAATTCCTGGAGTGAAGAATTAATGAATGGGACCAGGATGAGCTTCCTCTTGCAAAGACCACTGGTGCGAAATCCAATGGTACCCTAACAAGAAATGTGTTTATTGCCGCTCTGGTCCATTGGGCTGGACATGGAAATGGCAGAAATCTGGAGGTGGAAATTCACCCTCTCAACAAACATCCTTCTGTGACCAAGCACTGCTTGAAGCTGAGGGAACATAGTGGCATACTGTAGTATAATAATAAGAGACATAATGTGGCTATAAGATTAATGGTAGCCATAAAGTTAACTTAAGCATCTCGCAGGGCTGACACTATGTATCACTTAGCAGTATGATGCAGCCTAGGCCAGGGATTTCCAAGAGACAAAGGTCATCTCAGCACAGATGTAACTTTCAGAAACCTTAAAACAAAGCTTACCCTTACAAGAATAGCTTAAACTCCCTTTATGAAAGAAATACCTAGTAACCAATGTGGATTGAATGTAAGTATTAAAAAGGGGAAAGATTCTCCAAACTTTGAGTATGGTCTCCAAATAAAGACCCTCCTGGCCAGTTGGTCATCTGAGATGTGAGCAAGCCACAGTGCCCTGGAAAGAGGATTTATTTTAAATGGGAGAACACAGAGGGCCGCTCAAGGCATGAGTCAATTGAGCTGGCATTGAAAGATATCTAGATTTCTCATGATCAAGAGCATCATAGGCAGAGACAACGACATAAACAAAGGTATAGCATTGGGGGAACCAGCCCCCAATATTTCAACGTAGGTCCTTTCTATTTTCCCTAAGTGTCGGCTGGTCTGAGAAATAAAGAGAAAGAGTACAAAGAGAGAAATTTTATAGCTGGGCCTCTGGGATGTCATCACATATTGGCAGGACCATGATGGCGACCTCAAGCCACAAAACCAGCAAGTTTTTTTTTAGGGATTTTGAAAGGGGAGGGGGTGTACAAACAGGGAGTAGGTCATAAGGATCACATGCTTCAAAGGGTCATAAAGATCACAAGGAGAAGGCAAAATTAGAATTACTGATGAGGGTCTGCGTCCCACTGTGCACGCATTGTCTTGATAAACATCTTAATAGGAAACAGGGTTCGAGAGCAGAGGACCAGTCTGACTAGATTTCACCAGGCTGGAATTTCCCAATCCTAGTAAGCCTGAGGGTACTGCAGGAGACCAGGGCATATTTCAGTCCTTATCTCAACCGCATAAGACAGACACTCCCAGAGCAGCTGTCTATAGACCTACCCCCAGGAATGCATTCCTTCCACAGGGCTATTCCTTGCTGGGAAAAGAATTCAGCAATATTTCTCCTACTCGCGTTCTGCAAGAAGAAAAACATGGCTCTATTCTGCCCGACCCCGCAGGCAGTCAGACCTTATGGTTATCTTTCCTTGTTCCCTGAAAATTGCTGTTATTCTGTTCTTTTTCAGGGTGCATTGATTTCATATTGTTCAAACACACATTTTACAAACAATTTTTACAGTTAACGCAATCATCACAGGGTCCTGAGGTGACATACATCCTCAGCTTATGAAGATGACAGGATTAAGAGATTAAAGTAAGACAGGCATAAGAAATTATAAAAGTATTAATTTTGAGAACTAATAAATGTCCATGAAATCTTCACAATTTATGTTCAGAGATTGCAGTAAAAACAGGCATAAGAAATTATAAAAGTATTAATTTGGGGAAGTGATAAATGTCCATGAAATCTTCACAATTTATGTTCTTCTGCTGTGGCTTCAGCCGGTCCCTCCATTCAGGGTCCCTGACTTCCCGAAACTGTATGGAGATAACTTTCGAAAGAAAAGAGGGACAGATACAAAGGACAAGGGGGAGCTGTATGTCTGTGCCCCACCTTCTCACTCTTCATTCTAATCACCAAGACATACAGTATTCAAATGATGTACTGTTCCTTTAACCTTGAGAACTTCTCCCCGTGACTGATTGGAATCTGCTGGTCTCTTCATATATATCCAATTAGATAAGATTTGCAATAACAGGCCTCCTGCCTTCATCCTTTTTGCATCCCTCATGGTGTTTTACATAATAAGTATTATGGTTGTTAGTATTTTGGTTGTTACTTAAATTGAATTAAGGGCAAGCTATAATATAACTGTAATTCAGTTCCTTACACTTTTCTTGAACTTGAAGTTTTCTTGTACACATGACCTCATCCACAAGCTGTCTCCTTGCCTCCTTTTCAAGTCTCAGCTCCTTGTCCTTCTCAGCCAACTTCTTTGCCTTGTCTTCCTCTAATATTCTGTCAAATTCTTTCTCCTGAGCTTTTTCTTCCTCACGTCTCTGTGCCAAATATTTATGGTATATCTTCTGTTCTCTTATCATATCTTCCTATGTAACATAAAAATTCATATTGTTAAAATTTTTTGGTGTGATACTATAGTAAGGATACATTTAAAAAAAATCTTTAAAAGCTCCAATCCCAATCTTTTAGAACTATGTACTGAAACATTTACAGATGTATGTCTGGAGTTTATTCCAAAATACTCAAGAGTAGCGGGGGAAATGGGTAGGGATATAGAAGAGACAAGAATGGCCATCAGTTGATGGTTGTTAAAGTGAGGTGATGGACACGTGGGGACTCATTGTGCAATTCTTTGTATTTGTTTAAAATGTTTGATAATAAATGTTTGAATAAGTTAATTCAAACACTTTCCCAAAGTGTTTCTCAAAGTAGTTGCCAAATAGTTTTCAATGATACAGCTTTATTTTCATTTACTTTAATTTAGGTATATGAAATCCTAATCTGATCAACAAAATAAGTTACTTCTACTATTAGAGCACTGTCTCTCTGGCTGGTAGTCATTTTGTGCTTTATTACAGCAATTCTCAATCTTAGCTACACTTTGGAGTCACTGGGGAGCTTTACAAAGTATTGACATCTGGCTGGGCTCAGTGGCTCAAGCCTGTAATCCCAGCACTTTGGGAGGCCGAGGCGGGTGGATCACGAGGTCAGGAGACTGAGACCATCCTGGCTAACATGGTGAAACCCCGTCTCTACTAAAAATACAAAAAAATTAGCTGGACGTGGTGGTGGGCGCCTGTAGTCCCAGCTACTCGGGAGGCTGAGGCAGGAGAATGGCGTGAACCCAGGAGGCGGAGCTTGCAGTGAGCCGAGATCGTGCCACTGCACTCCAGCCTGGGCGACAGAGCGAGACTCCGTTTCAAAAAAAAAAAAACAAAAACAAAAAAAATCAAGGGCCGAGTCCCACCCCCAGAAATTCCTAATTAATGGATACCTTTTACGTTCCCCCAGGTGATAGTAATGTGCAGCTAAAGTTGAGACCTGCTGTTTATTTAGCGCAGGCATTTTTAGTTGGCTACTGCCATGTTGCAGTAACTATCCAATAGCAATGAGTTCATCCAATACCAAGGTTGTAGATATTATTAAACACCTGATATGGTTTGGCTCTGTGTCCCCATCCAAATCACATCTTGAATTGTAATTCCCATGTGTGAGGGGAGGGACCTGGTGGGAGGTGATTGGGTCATGGGGGTAGTTTCCCCCATGCTGTTCTCATGATAGTGAGTTCCCATGAGATCTGATGGTTTAAAGTGTGGCTTTCTTCATTCCCTCCCTCCTGTCGCCAAGTAAGACGTGCCTTGCTTCCCCTTCCACTGTGATTTTAAGTTTCCTGAGCCTTCCCCAGCCATGTGAAACTGTGAGTCAATTACACCTTCTTTTTTAAATAAGTTACCCAATATCAGGTAGTTCTTTATAGCAGTGTGAAAACAGATAAATACCATTTCCCACTAAAAAGAACCAACAATCCTTGGGAAAATAATCAATATAAGACTGGAGCAGAAACTGAACAGGATGAACCTGGTACATCTTATTGTGTCAGAATCAAGAAAACTATCAAAGTCTGTTGGTGGACAGTATCAAAAGAGCATGACAGCCCACTTGAAGGGACTCTCATGATCTAGAATCAGGCAATCTGAGCACCAAAAAGAAGAGTGAACTAATAATCCACTAAAAAACTATTGAAACTTGGCCAGGCATGGTGGCTCATGCCTGTAATCCCAGCACTTTCGGAGGCTGAGGTGGGCAGATCACTTGAGGTCAGGAGTTGGAAACCAGCCTGGCCAACATGGTAAAACCCCGTCTCTACTAAAAATACAAAAAAATTAGCTGGGTGTGGTGGCACAAGCCTGTAGTCCCAGCTACTTAGGAGGCTGAGGCAGGAAGATCACTTGAACCTGGGAGGCAGAGGTTGCAGTGAGCCAAGAACATGCCACTGCACTCGAGCCTGGGTGACAGAATGAGACTCTATCTCAAAAAAAAAAAAAAAAAAAAAACTATTAAAACTAATAAGGCTGGGCGCGGTGGCTCACGCCTGTAATCCCAGCACTTTGGGAGGCCGAGGCGGGTGGATCATGAGGTCAGGAGATCGAGACCATCCTGGCTAACAAGGTGAAACCCCGCCTCTACTAAAAATACAAAAAATTAGCCAGGCGCGGTGGTGGGCGCCTGTAGTCCCAGCTACTCGGGAGGCTGAGGCAGGAGAATGGCGTGAACCCAGGAAGCGGAGCTTGCAGTGAGCCGAGATTGCACCACTGCAGTCCGCAGTCCGGCCTGGGCGACAGAGCGAGACTCCGTCTCAAAAAAAAAAAAAAAAAAAAACTAATAAACGAGTTTAGCAATGTTGCAGGATACAAGACCAATATACAAAACTCCTTGTATTCCTATTTGACAGCATCAATCTAAAATGAAATTAAAAATTTTATTTCCAAATAGAAATGTTATACTTAGGAATAAATTTAACAAAGTAAGTGTTAAAATGTATACTCTGAAAACTAAGAAACATTATTGAAAGAAATTAAAGTAGACCTAAATAAATGGAAAGACAGCTTAAGTTCATGAATCAGAAAACAATACTGTGAAAATGACAGCACTTCCCAAACTGACCTACAGGTTCAACACAATCTTTACCAAAATCTCAACTGGCTTCTTTGCAGGAATTGACAAGCTGATCCATGTAACTTCCAGATACCTGGACATGCAAGGGAGCCAGAATAGCCAAAACAATTTTAAAAAGAACAAAGTTTGAGGATTTACATTTTCTCTCTCTCTTTTTTTTTTGAGATGAAGTTTCACTCTGGTTGTCCAGGTTGGAGTGCAATGGTGGAGTGTCACTCTTGTTGCTCGGGCTGGAGTGCAATGACACGATCTCAGCTCACTGCAACGTCCGCCTCCCGGATCAAGCGATTCTCCTGCCTCAGCCTCCCAAGTAGCTGGGATTACAGGCATGGGCCACCATGCCTGGCTAATTTTTGTATTTTTGGTAGAGACGGGGTTTCACCATGTTGGTCAGGCTGGTCTCAAACTCCTGACCTCAGGTGATCCTCCTGCCTCAGCCTCCCAAAGTGCTGGGATTACAGGCGTGAGCCACTGCACCAGGCCAGGATTTACATTTTCTGATTTCAAACTTACTACAAAGCTACGGTAATCAAGACATATAGATTTGTTATACTGGACTAAGGATAGAGATATAGATTGATGGAATAGAACTGAGTGTCCAGAAATAAACCTTCACTTTACTGTAATTGATTTTTGACAAGGGTGATAAGACAATTCAATAGGGGAACAATTAGAGAATTATTTCAACAAATGATGCTGGAATAACTGGATATCCACATGAGGAATAATGAATTAGGATCCTTATCTCATGCCATATACAAAACTTAAAATGGATCAAAAGCCTAAATGTAAAAGCTAAAATTATAACACTCTAACAAGAAAACAAAGAAGTACATCTTTGTGATCCTAGAGTAGGTAACCATTTTTTAGATAGGACCCCTAAAGCATAAGCAACAAAAGAAAATATAGCTAAATTGAACTTTGTCAAAATTTAAAACTTTTGTGATTCAAAGGACATCATCAAAAAAGTAAAAAGACAACCTATAGAATGAAAGAAAATAATTGCAAGTCATTTATCTGGTAAGAGACTTGAATCTAGAAAATATAAAGAACTCTTGGCCAGGCGTGGTGGCTCACGCCTGTAATCCCAGCACTTTGGGAGGCTGAGGTGGGTGGATCGCCTAAGGTCAGGAGTTCAAGACCAGCCTGGCCAACATGGTGAAACCCCGTCTCTACTAAAAATACAAAAAAATTAGCCAGGCGTGGTGGCAGGCACCTGTAATCCCAGCAACTCAGAAGGCTGAGGCAGGAGAATCGCTTGAACCTGGGAGGTGGAGGTTGCAGTGAGATGAGATTGCACCATTGCACTCCAGCCTGGGCGACAAGAGTGAGATTTAAAAAAAAAAAAAAGAACTCTTACAATTCAATAATAAAAGGACCAATAACCCAACTAAAATATGGGCAAAGGACTTGAATAGACTTCTCTAAGAATAGAGAATAGCCTTCAAATAGACTTCTCCAAGGAAGATCTACAAATGACCATAAGCACAGGAAAAGAGGCTCAATATCATTAGTCACTAGGGAAATACAAATAAAAACCATAATGAGATACCAATTCAGATGCATTAGGCTGGGTAAAATAAAAAAAACAGACAATAACAAGTGTTGGTGAGCATGTGGATAAATCAAAACCCTCATACACTGCTGGTGGGAATGTAAAATGGTTCAGCCACTTTGGAAAACAGTTTGGCAGTTCCTCAAAACTTCAACACAGAGTTACCGTATGGCCCAGTAGTACTACTTCTAGATACATGCCCCAAAGAAAAATAAAAACATATGTCCACACAAAAATGTGTACATGAATGTTCATAGTAGCATTATTCATGATAGCCAAAAAGTGGAAATAACCCAAATGTCCATCAACTGACATAATGCATAAACAAAATGTGGCATATCCATACAATGGAATATCATTCAGCCACATAAACAAATAAAATAGTGATTCATGCTACAATGTGGATAAATCTTGAAAACATTATGCTAAGTGAAAGAAGACAGTCAACAGGTCACATAACATGTGATTCCATTCATATCAAAGTCCAGAATGGGGAAATCTATAGAGACACAAAGTTGATAAGTGGCTGCTTAGGACTGGAGGCAGGAGGTGGGGAAGAAGGGATAGCAGGATAGTGAAAATGTTCTAAAATAAAATGTGATGACAGCTGCACATATCTGTGAAAACAGTAAAATCCACTGAATTGTATGGTTTAAACTGGGGAACTGGATGTTATGTGAATTCTCTCTTGAAGCTGTTAAAAAAATGATTTAAATGTGAACAAAAAACTCAACAGGAAAAAGAAATCAAATAAGCAAGTCAATTAGATAATGGACAAAAACCAGGAGTTGGAGGCTGCAGTGAGCTATGATCATGCCACTGTACTCCAGCCTAAGTGACAGAGTGAGATACTGGCTCAACAAAAATTAAAAAAAAAAAAAAAAACAGAAAATGGGCAAAAGACATGAAGAGACATTTCATTGAAGAAGACATACAGATAGAAAACAGGCTCATAAAAAGTTGTTCAAAATCATTAGCCATTAGGGAAATGTAAATTAAACCACAATGAGATGTTACTACACATCTATCAGAATGGTTAAAAGTGAACAATAGTGATAGCACCAAATGCTGGTGAGGATGTGGAGAAACTGGATTGCTCATGTATTGCTGGTGGGAATGTAACATGGTATGGCTACTCTGAAAAACAGTTTAGCAGTTTCTTTAAAAAACTAAACATGCAATTACTATATGACATAGCAATTGCTCTTCTAGGCATTTATCTCATAGAAATGATGATTTGTGCCAGGTGTGGTGGCTCATGCCTGTAATCCAAGCACTTTGGGAGGCTAAGGTGGGTGGGTCACTTGAGGTTGGGAGTTTGAGACCAGCCTGGCCAACATGGTGATATCCCATCTCTACTAAAAATAGAAAAAATTAGCCAGGCATGGTGGCACACACCTGTAATCCTAGCTACTCAGGGGGCTGTGGCAGGAGAATCACTTGAACCCGGGAGGTGGAGGTTACAGTGAGCCGAGACCATGCCACTGCACTCCAGCCTGGGTGACAGAGCAAGACTCCGCCTAAAAAAAAAAAAAAAAAAAAGTGAGAATGTGTTCACAGAAAAACCTGTACTCAAATGATTATAGCAGCTTTACTCATAATAGCCATAACCTGGAAACAACTCAAATGTCCTTCAACAGGTAAATGGCTAAACAAACTGTGGTAAATCTATACCATGAACACTACTCAAGAATAAATTGGGAGGCCGAGGCAGGTTGATTACCTGAGGTCAGGAGTTTGAGACCAGCCTGGCCAACGTGGCGAAACGCTGTCTCTACTAAAAACACAAAAATTAGCCAGACGCAGTGGCACCCGCCTGTAATCCCAGCTACTCGGGAGGCTGAGACAGGAAAAGCGCTTGAACCCATGAGGCGGAGGTTGCAGTGAGCCGAGATCACGCCACTGCACTCCAGCCTGGGCAACAAGAGCAAAATTCTATCTCAAAAAAAAAAAAAAAAAAAAGAATAAAAAGAAGGCTGGGTGCAGTGGCTCATGCCTGTAAACACAACACTTTGGGAGGCCAAGGCAGGAGGATTACTTGAGCCCAGGAGTTCAAGACCAGCCTGGGCAGCATAGTGAGACCCCATCTCTACAAAAAATAAGAAAACTAGCTGAGCATGGTGGCTTGTGCCTGTAATCCCAACTACTCAGGAGGTTGAGGCTGAAGTATCAGTTGAGCCTGGGAAGTTGAGGCTGCAGGGAGCTGAGACCACACCACTGCACTCCAGCCTGAGTGACAGGGCAAGACTGTCTCAAAAAAAAAAATTAAAAAAAAAGAAAAAGAAAAAGAAACAACTATTGATAGATCCAAAAAGTTGGACAAATCTCCTGAGGGTTATGCTAAGTGAAAAAGGCTATCTGAAAAGATTACACACTATATGATTCTACTAATATAACATTCCCAAAATAATAAAATTATAGAAATGAAGAACAGGGTTAAGAAGGGGGTGGGGCAAGAGGGAAGTAGGTGTGTCTATAAAAGGGCAATATGAAAGATCCTGGTGATGATGAGATGTTCAGTATCTTGATTATATCAATGTCAACATCCTGACTGGCATGGTACTATAGTTTTGCAAGATATTACCATTGAGGGAACCAGAGTAAAGGGTACAAGGAATCTCTCTGTATTATTTCTTAAAACTGCATGTGAATCTACAATCATATCAAAATGAAAAGTTTATCCAGGCACAGTAGTTCACACCTGTAATCCCAGCACTTTAGGAGGCTGAGGTGGGAGGATCACTTGAGCCCACTCCAGACCAGGCTGGGCAACTTGGCAAAACCCTGTCTCTACAAAAAATACATAAATTAGCCAGGCTAGGTGGTGGATGTCTGTAGTCCCAGCTACTCGGGAGGCTGAGGTGGGAGGATTGCTTGAGCCCAGGAGGGCGAGGCTACAGTGAGCCATGATTATGCCACTGCACTCCAGCCTGGGTTACAGCGTGAGACCCCTGTCTCAAAAAAAAAAAAAAAAAAGAGAGAGAGAGAGAGAAGTTTAATTAAAAATCAAAGTACATGCACACTAAGAACCAGGTAAAAACAAGAAAAAGCACTTGTGGGAGAAACAAAACACTCTTAAAAGTTCAATCCAAATTCCAAACGTATAGGTAGTTAACTCAATACTGAATGCCTTTCCCTTCTCTTTTTGCCTGACAAAACTTTACATATCCTTTAAGGTCCAACTCAAATGTCACTTTCTGAGTAATGTCTTTCTCAAATTCCAGGAGTTCTCAAACTTTAGTTAGCATCAGAATCACCTGGGGGAGTGTGCTGAAACACAGATTTCCTGCCCCTGTCATGATTTTGATTGGGAGATCCTGATTCTGGAGCCTGGGAATTTCTGTTTCTAACATTTTCCCAGATGGTGCTGATGCTGTTGGCTTGTGGACCACACTCAGAGTAGCACTGCTATATATTTGAAGCCATCTTCCACAAGACTGAGAACTCAGTAAGGAATCCCTTCCAGCAGGTAGCAGGCACCAAAAAAATGTCTTACTCTTTTTTGTTTCTTTTTATCTGCCTCTTCCTGTAAGTCTTGAAGGGCCCTTTGCACGAGCTTCATGTTCAAGTCCTGTTCGTCTCTGTATTCCTGCTGAATATGTTCTATCCTCTCTTGTAGGGCTTTTTGCAAAATGGTCCTAGTTTCCTGCTTTGCCTTCTGTTTCTTTAGCATATCCTGTTCATTCTCATGTTTAATCTGTGCGTTGTTACTTTCCTAAGGTAGAATCATAATAAAGATAATGCATCAGTACAGTTGGACAAGACAAGTTAGTGCATTTGACTTCAGAGATGGGAATAAAGGATTTCTGGAAATACACACACACCTGGATTTAGAGAGGCTGTAAGAAAGAAAACCTTCCTTTTCGTAGCTGAGTCAGCAATAAAACTGTGAAAATTGCCTGGGCATGTGTGATTATAATGTAATAAATAGTTGTAGAGTTGAAAACAGAAAAGTATAAACAGAAACTACTTTTAATCCCAGTACCCATCATCCACCACCATTCTCCACCTGTGGGTGCGTTGGCCTTCCACACTTGACCCTTCTATGAACTCTGCACCACACATTTGGATACATTATTAAACAGCACTAAGAGTCCAAAAATGGAAATGTGCCTGTGAACTAGCCCAGGCCATCAGACAAACTGTACTGTAACAGGCCTGCAAACTGTACTACACCCATGGCGTTGATCACCCTCTAACAAGCATTTTAAAGGCCCACCACAAGGCGTGCCTCCTCTTCCTTCAGCAGCTGTGTCGCCTGCCTTTGTGCCTTGATGCTGGTGATCTGGGCATTCAGCCCCAGGCGTGTGTTCTCCATCAGCTCTTTCTGTCTCCTCGCCTCTTGGGCTTCTCGCTTTTCCTTGGCTAATCGGTCTTCCTCCCAGAGTTTGGAGAACATCTGCTCTTCCACCAGCTTTTGCCTGCTCAGCTCCTCATTAAATGCAATCTGTGCTTTCCGCTCCTCACACACCTTCTTCTGATGGATAGATAACAATTCAACACGGAGCTCCTCACAGCGTTCCCTGAAAGGAAAATTTTAAAAAGACAAAACCCAGCCTTTCGTGAGGCACTGCTCTATTGAGGCACACATCTGTACAATCACACAATGAAGCAAGAAAAATCAGAGACCTGGATGCAGGCCATCGGAGCACAGGAAACAAGAGGGAGCAGCAGGGAGGGCAAGCACCAGGATGGCACAGCCTGACTATGAAAACTGGAGTAAAGCAAAGGCAGCCCTGACTCCATTTCCTGTGTGATCTCAGATCAAAAACTCAACCTGTTAACCCCAATGACTGACCTATTCACTTGACTTTGAGAACCCCTAATTTAGGGTTGCTTACTTTTTTTCTTTTTTTTTTTGAGACAGAGTCTCGCTCTGTTGCCCAGGCTGGCGTGCGGTGGCACCATCTCACCTCACTGTAAGCTCTACCTCTCGGGTTCATGCCATTCTCCTGCCTCAGCCTTCTGAGTAGCTGGGACTACAGGTGACCACCACCACGCCTGGCTAATTTTTTTGTATTTTTAGTAGAGACGGGGTTTCACCGTGTTAGCCAGGATGGTCTTGATCTCCTGATCTTGTGATCCGCCCACCTCAGCCTCCCAAAGTGCTGGGATTAGAGGCGTGAGCCACCGTACCCAGCTGCTCACTTTTTTTTTTAAGAGACAAGGTCTCACTCTGTCGCTCAGGCTGGAATGCAGTGGCGTGATCATGGCTCACTGCATCCTTGAACTCCTGGCCTCAAGTGATCCTCCCACCTTAGCCTCCCAAGTAGCTGAGACTATAAGCACATGTCACCGTGTCTGGCTAATTAAAAAATTTTTATTTTTGTAGAGACAGGGTCTTGCTATGTTGCCAGGGCTGGTCTCAAAATCCTAGTCTGAAGTGACCCTCCTGCCTCAGCCTTCCAAAATGCTGGGATTACAGGCATGAGCCACTACACCAGGCTGAGATGCTCACTATAGCTAGATAGGATATCTGGCCAGGCATGGTGACTCATATCTGTAATCCCAACACTTTGGGAGGCCAAGGCAGGAGGATCGCTGGAGACTAGGACTAGCCTGGGAAACACAGTGAGACCTTGTCTCTACAAAAGTTTTTAAAAAATTAGCTAGGCATGCTGGCACACGCCTGTAGTCCTAGCTACTTGGGAGACTGAGGCAAGAAGACCACTTGAACTCAGGAGTTTGAGGCTGCAGTGAGCTAGGACCATACCAATGCGTTCTAACCTGCACTCTAGGTCAGTAAGACCCTGTTTCTTTTTTTTTTTTTTTTGAGACGGAGTCTCGCTCTGTCGCCCAGGCTGGAGTGCAGTGGCACGATCTCGGCTCACTGCAAGCTCTGCCTCCCGGGCTCACGCCATTCCCCGGCCTCAGCCTCCGGAGTAGCTGGGACCACAGGCGCCCACCACCACGCCTGGAGAATTTTTTGTATTTTTAGTGGAGACGGGGTTTCACCGTGTTACCCAGGATGGTCTTGATCTCCTGACCTTGTGATCCACCCGCCTCAGCCTCCCAAAGTGCTGGGATTACAGGCGTGAGCCACTGCGCCCAGCCGTAAGACCCAGTTTCTAAAAAAATAAATTAAATGATAGACAGAATATTTATTTATTCTAATGATAATAATCATTGATAAGAGGAAAACTTTATGTTTGTGAGTGCTTTATAGTTTGCAGGTAGCAGGTATCATCCCCATCTTAGAGTTAAAGCAACAGAGACTCAGGGAGCCTAAGTGTCTTCCCAAGTCACATAACCAGTAGTAGGAATATTATTAGCAAAAGTTATTAAGTGCTTATTATCTGCCAGACACTATTCTAAGCACTTTAACACATATGAACTCTTGTAATCTTCATAATAATCAATATGGCAATGAACATTACTGCAAATTTATTTTTATTATTTTTATTGTCCTTGGTTTACAGATGAGGAAATGGAAGCACACAGCAGTTAAGCATCTTACCTAAGTTTGTCCATTTCATATGTGGTAGAACTGGGACTGAAGAGCTGGCAGTGTGGCCCTGGAGTCTGGATTCTTTGGTGTTTCATTGCATCACCTCTGCCAGCAACTGACAGAGGCAAGACTACCTCTGATCCACAGGCATTCTGACCAAACATCCTAGGGTATTCGTTAATAAAAACACCCCAAAACAAACCCTCGAAATGCCTACCTTAATCTGGGGTCTAATCATTAACCATGTATAATTACAGGGCATTTAAAAAGAAATTTCATAATGTACCAAAAGCACAATCCATAAAAGAAATATTGACAAATTTGATTTCATTAATATTAAAAGCTTTTGCTCTGTAAAAGATCCTTTTAATAGGATAAATAAGACAAGACTGCTGAATGTCTGGGGAAAGAAAAGAAAAAACCATTTAAAAAAAAAAGATAAGCTATAGTCTAGGAAAAAAACCACGTATCGGACAAAGAAGTACTGTCTAGAATACATAAAGAATCCTTAAAACTTAACAGCTAAAAAAAAAAAAAGGCAAAAACTTAGCAGCTAAAACAAGCTAAATTCTAAAAATCTAATTAGAAATGGGCAAAAGATATAAAGAGACATTTCACCAAAGAAAATGTACAGATGGAAAATAAGCACATGAAAAGTTGCTCAACATCACCAGCCATTAGGTAAATGCCAATTAAGCCCATGATGAGATATCACAGCACGCCTATTAGAACAGCTAAAAATAAAAACAAAACAAAACAAAACAATAACGCCACTACCAAAAGGACCAGGATGTGGAAAAACTGGATCTCTCATATACCGCTGGTGGGATTATAAAATGGTACAGCTACTCTAGGAAATAGTTTAGTGTTTATTAAAAAAGAAAAAATTACATTTATGGCTGGGAGTGGTGGCTCACGCCTGTAATCTCAGCACTTTGGGAGGCCAAGGTGGACGGATCACCTAAGGTCGGGAGTTCAAGACCAGCCTGACCAACATGGAGAAACTGCATCTCTACTAAAAATACAAAAAATTAGCCGGGCTTGGTTGGTGCATGCCTGTAATCCAAGCTACTCGGGAGACTGAGGTAGGAGAATCACTTGAACCCAGGAGGCAGAGGCTGCAGTGAGCCGAGATCACGCCATTTCATTCCAGCCTGGGCAACAAGAGTGAAACTCTGTCTCAAACAAAACAAAACAAATTTGCATATGATCCAGCAATAGTATATGATAATTATCCTCAATAAACAAAAACATATGTTCACACAAAAACCTGTACACAAACGTTCCTGTCAGATTTACTTATAATAGAGCAAAACTAGAAACAACCAAAATGTCCTTCAGTAAGTGAACGGTTTAACCAAACTGAGGTACATTCATGCAATGGAATACTACTCAGCAATAAAAAAGACAAACTAACAATACCTCCAACAACTTGGATGGACCTCAAAGGCATTATGTTGAGTGAAAAAGGCCAATCTCTAAAGATCACATATTGTGTGATTCCATTTATATAACATTCTTAAAATGATGAAATTATGGGGATAGAGATTAGTTGTTGCCAGGGTTAGGAATGATGGGGGTGAGAGTAGTGGGCATGACTCTAGAAGAGTAACATGAAGGAGATTTTTGCAGTGATGGAATAGTTCTGTATCTTGATTGTAGGGTGGTTACACAGTCTACAGGTGATAAAATGGCACAGAACTCTACACACACCTTCCATGACTATCAGTTTCCTTGTCTTAATATTGTATTACAATTATGTAAGATATAACCATTGAGGGAAACTAGGTGAAGGGTAAATGGGATCTCTGTACTATCTGTGCACTTTCTGTAAATATATAATTATTTAAAATTAAAAATTAAATACAAAAAAAAACCACTGGTAATTTTTTCTTGTCATTATTATCCATTTCATTTCATTATTATTGCTGAAAATAATTTTGCTGTATAGAAGATAGGGATCACTAAAAATGATCTACTCCAGGTATCAAATATTCTATGAATGCCACTGAATATATCAAAGAGAAATGAATGCATATGCCATCAAAGGACATGTCTATTCATCGTAGATTTATTCATAAGAGTCCCAAACTGAAAATAACTGAAATGACTGTCACCAGGAGAAGAAATAAATTGTGGTATATTTATACAATGGAATACAAAAAAAAAAAGAGGAAAATTTTCATTCTGCTTTATATTAATATACATATTAAAGCCTCAACTATATTTTCAGTAATAGGGTCTAATAACGCATCCTTACTCAAAAGTATGTCTGAGGATCTATGCTGAGGAGTTGGCAGTGCTTCATTCAAAACACTAAAAACAATTTGTTTTCAAATTATATTACTATAGGATACATTCGTTTCTTTAAGATTTTTAACAATTCATCTAACTAGCAAAAACTCAGTCATACAAGTGAAATCTGTAAAATGTTGCTAAATCCATAAATTTTAAAAGCACAACCACTTACGAACCATTTTGTTTTCTTAATATGTTAAGATAAATTTACTAGGGAGTAGAAAATATATGAATGGTCCATTGAGAGTCACTTGGCTAATATACCATTTTCCACCCACAGCATCTTTTCCCCCCAGCAACCAGTAGCAAAGATGTCCAAATCCCACTGAGGACAGGGTATGAGTGCATGCTTTACACAGGCTTGAAAATCCAAGTCTAATCCTCTTTTGGTTACCTCAAGCTTAAGACCTAGACAAATCCCTACCTGTAGAACTCAGTTATCCATCTACAAGCCAAGGAGGGTGGCAAGTCGCGTCTGGCCCTGTGCGTTACTACTCCGGGTTTCTTCACTGCCCTCCTTCAGCAGCTCCCCAAGCCCTGAAACTTCCCATTCCCTCTCCTTTTGAGAGGGAATTTACTTTTAGCAGCTGCATCTGCAACTTTTATCTACTACTCACTGCAATGGCTTACTTCTCCTTTTGGCCTCTAGTAAGAGGGTTGAGGGTTTAGGGCTGTCCATATTATTAATAGCGAATTCATGACAGAAAGAGCAGATGGAAGAAGCTTTTCTCTGCACCATGTCTTGATCCCTCCACAGATGTCATTTTGCTGCTTTTTCACATCTGTTGACCTTTGGATTTCTGGTCTACTCAAATTTTGAGTGCTATGAAAAATGAACTCTTGTATTCCTTCTGTATTCCACCAGATTTAAACTCAGGTATTTTTGGATCATCCATTCCTGAATCTGGCTTAACATGATACACACCTTGCCCCACTCATACTAGATGACCTAACAACCTAAGTGACACTCACTCTCACAGAGCCTGGCATGAAGTAGGAGCCCAAAAATACTTACTGAATGAATGAATGCTAATGGCTATGTTTTAAACACTTCCAGGTAATATTTTGGACTGTAAAAATCCCTTCTGAATACAAAAACTTTAGCCAGTTACTCTAAAATTAAAAGACAGATGAAATCGATGATTTAGGGCATTCCATGGGTCATTCATGTGATCATCACTGCACTGAGAGATGTATCTGAAAAAAGGGGCAAAATGCACCATCACTACTATTATTCAACATAGCACTGGAAGTCCTAGCTAGAGCAATCAGGCAAGAGAAAGATATAATGGGCATCCAAATTTCAAAGTAAGAAGTCAAATTATCCTTGTTTGCAGATGACACGATCTTATATTTGGAAAAATCTAGACTCCACAAGAAAAGTCTTAGAACTGCAAAACAAATTCAGTAAAGTTGCAGGATACAAAATCAACATACAAAAACCAATAGCATTTCTATATGCTTACACTGAACAACGTGAAAAAGAAATTTAAAAAGTTATCCCATTTACAATAGCCATAAATAAAATTACCTAGGAATTAACCAAAGAAGTGAAAGATCTCTACAATGAAAACCATAAAACACTGATGAAAGAAATTGAAGAGGACATCAAAAAATTGAAACATATTCCATGTTCTTGGATTGGAAGAATCAATATTATTAAAACTTCTATACTACCCAAAGCAATCTACAGACAAAACGCAATCCCTATGAAAATACCAATAACATTCTTCACAGAAACAGAAAAAACAGTTGCTCATGCCTATAATCCCAGAACTTTGGGAGGCCAAGGTGGGTGGATCACTTGAGACTAGGAGTTCGACACCAGCCTGGGCAACATAGGGAAACCCCGTCTCTATTAAAAATACAAAAATTAGCTGAGGGTGGCAGTACACACCTGTGGTCCCAGCTACTTGGGAGGCTGAGGCAGGAGAACTGCTTGAACCTAACCTGGGAGGCAGAGGTTGCGGGGAGCTGAGATCCTGTAACTGCATTCCACCTTGGGCAACATACACTCCAGGCTGGACAACTGAGTGAGACCCTGTCTCAAAATAAAATGAAATAAAAGAAAATAAGAAAAGAAAAGAAAAAACAATCCTAAAATTTGTATGGAACCACAAAAGATTCAGAATAGCCAAAGCTATTCTAAGCAAAAATAACAAATCTGGAGGAATCACATTACCTAACTTCGAATTATACTACAGAGCTATAGTACCTCAAACAGCATGGTACTGGCATAAAAACAGACACATAAACCAATGAAAAAGAATAGAGAACCCAGAAACAAATCTACACACTTACAGTGAACTCGTTTTTGACAAAGGAGCCAAGAACATGCACTGGGGAAAAGACAGTCTCTTCAATATATGATGCTGGGAAAACTGGATATCCATATGCAAAAGAATGAAAATAGACCCTATCTTTCATCATATGCAAAAATCAAATCAAAATAGATCCAAGACTTAAATCTAAGACCTCAAACTATGAAACTACTACAAGAAACATTGGGGAAAAATCTCTAGGACATTGGACTGGGCAAAGATTTCTTGAGCAATACCCTATAAGCACGGGCAACCAAAGCAAAAATGGACAAATGGGATCATATCAAGTTAAAAAGCTTCTGCACAGCAAAAGATACAATCAACAAAGTGAAGAGACAACCCACAGAATGGGAGAAAATATTTGCAAACTATCCCTCTGAAAAGAGATTAATAACCAGAATATATAAGGAGCTCAAACAACTCCATAAGAAAAAAATCCAATATTCCAATCAAAAAATGGACAAAAGATTTCAACAGACATTTCTCAAAAGAACACATACAAATGGCAAACAGGCATATGAAAAGGTGCCCAACATCACAGATCATCAGAGAAATGCAGATCAAAACTACAGTGAGATATCATTTCACCCCAGTTAAAATTGCTTATATCTAAAAGACAGGCAATAACAAATCTTGGTGAGGATGCAGAGAAAAGGGAACCCTTGTACACTGTTTGTGGGAATGTAATACAACCACTATGGAGAACAGTTTGGAGGTTCCTCAAAAAACTAAAAATAGAGCTACCATAAGATCCAGCAATCCCACTGCTGAGTATAGGCCCAAAAGAAAGGAAATCAGTATATTGAAGAGATAGCTAAACTCCTATGTTTGTTGTAGTGCTGTTTACAACAGCTAAGATTTGGAAGCAACCTAAGTGTCCATCAACAGATGAATGGATAAAGAAAATGTGGTACACATGCACAATGGAGTATTATTCAGCTATAACAAAGAATGAAATCCAGTCATTTATAACACTATGGATGGAACTGGAGGTCATTATGTTAAGTGAAATAAGCCAGGCACAGAAAGACAAACATTGCATGTTCTCACTAGTTTGTGGGATCTAAAAATCAAAACAATTGAACTCATGGAGATAGAGAAGGATGGTTACCAGAGGCTGGGAAGGATAGTGGGGGGTTGGGGGTGGAGGTGGGGACAGTTAATGGGTACCAAAAAAAAAAAAAAGAATGAATGAATAAGACCTACTATTTGATAGCACAACAGGATGACTATAGTCAATAATTACAGGCGTGTGCCACCATGCCCGGCTAATTTTTGTATTTTTAGTAGAGTTGGGTTTCACCATGTTGGCCAGACCAGTCTTGAACTCCTGACCTCAGGTAATACACCCACCTCAGCCTCCCAAAGTGCTGGAATTACAGACATGAGCCACTGCGCCCGGCCAATTTTTTTATTTTTTGTGGAAATAAGGTCCCACTATGTTGCCCAGGCTGGTCTCAAACTCCTGGCCTCAAGTGATCAAAGTGCTGGGATTATAGGTGTGAGCCACTGTGCCCAGCCAAATAACAGCAATTCTTAATGTTTACACTCTTAGAAGTATCAGAAGCACTGAAAATATAACTGAGGAATTATAGTAACATTATAAATATATAATAGCTCTTGTTCTAAGAGCTGTAGCTCTAGGGAGGGAGACTATTTAGTATATTTTTGCTTTAGAGGTAAGGAATGTCTTGGTTTGTGAAACTAAAAGCATCTGCCAAGCTTCTGATTATATAACACTATAGATCATCTCCAGAGGATCACTCTTGGGTACTCCCATACAAATCTTCCCTCTGTGTAAGTGCACAGTAGTGGGTAGTCTATCAGGGCACAGACTCAGAGTATCCTACGATGGAAAACCACAATGAAAAGGGATACAGAGGCAACCACAGTACCAGATTGAGTAGATTGAGTACAGTAAAGACCAGGGGTCTGAAAACCGAGGGTCACCATGGGTCTGGGTCAGGAAGTGCCTTATAAGTCCAGGTGATCAGACCCCAGTGATCAGAATACCAGGCAAGGAAACAGACAATAAAGAAGAGAGTAGAGAGGGCCGGGCATGGTGGCTCATGCCTGTAATCCTAATACTTTGGGTAGCTGAGGTGAGTGGATCACTTGAGTCCAAGAGTTCAAAACCACCCTGCGCAACATGACGAAACCCCCATCTCTACAAAAAATACAAAAAAATTAGCTGGGCACAGTGGCGCGTGCCTATAGTCTCAGCTACTTGAGAGGCTGAGGTGGGAGGATCACTTTGGGCTCAGGAGGTGGAGGTTGTAGTCATGATCATGCCACTGCACTCCAGCCTGGATGACAGAGCAAGACCCTGTCTCAAAAAATGACAACCGAAAAACCCCCCAGGGAACCCAAGCACACATGCAGCACAGGTAGAGACTACAGCAGCAGGGGGAAAGCCCAACTTTACCAAAGATTCCTTGGCACAGGGGCTTTTGAAGAACTTCCTGCCAACAGCAAGGGTGAGGTTAATACCTAAAGTTCAGTAACATAATCTCCTTTGTTACTTCCATTCTAATTGAGAAGCAAGCACAGAACATTAGAACATAGTTCTCAAGCACACACTGTATTATTCAATGATATGTAATATATTGCCAAGACTTAAAGTTACAACTACTCTGTATATCCTCTTAAGACTAATTTACTTTAAATTAGCATTCTTAAATCTATTTTAATGTACCAACTTTGGATTCTGTTTGTGTGTTTTCTGATTTCATTACCTGAATTGCTGGTCTAGCTTTTCAGCCACAAAATCCTGCCTCTCTTTTTCATTCTTCTCTTTTAGTAATTTAGTTTTCTCTCTCATCCTATCTTTTTTCTCCTCAATGGTTTCTTTCTTCAATTGCATTTCTGTAAAATACTCATTTTCTTCTAATGCTAAAAGCTCACGTAGCCTGAAACAAAAAGCCAAAAAAAAAAAAAAAAAAAGAAAACTGTCATGCTACATGCATCGTTATATTCAATTTCAGAACTATAGGTCTAATTTGTAAGAAAAGAAAGATCACTGCAGTCTTCCACAGAATAAGACTGGTTGGTTTGTTTTTTTGTTTTTGTTTTTGTTTTTGTTTTGAGACAGGATCTCGCTCTGTCACCCAGGCTGGAGTGCAGTGTGATCATGGCTCACTGCAGCCTTGACCTCCTGGGCTCAGGTGATCCTCCCACCTCAGCCTCCTTGAACAGCTGGGACTACAGGCAGGTGCCCCTATGCCCAGCTGTTTTTTTATTTTTTGTAGAGATGGGGTCTCACTGTGTTGCCCAGGCTGGTCTCAAACTCCTGGGCTCAAACAATCCTCCCACCTCAGCCTCCCAAAGTGGTAGGATTATAGGTATGACCCACTAAGCCCAACCAACTGCACCATATTTTATTTGATCACATACAAATAAGATACGAAATATATATTTTTAACAAAAGAGTAAAATGAACAGGTTTCAATCAAAATAATGAAATATGAAACAATATATTGTTTTTCATCAAAATACAGGCTATCACAAATAAAAATATTAAAAATATTAACCAGCAATAGCTATGGATTTAATATAAACATCTCAGCCATGATCCTTGCTAAATTTGATTTTTGACTGGTCAATCTCAAATTGTGGTTTTAGGAATATTTCATGGTTTATGTCCCAGGTTTGTGAGCCTTACTTATTTCGTCTTTCTTCAATGTTAATGATAAACCCTTGCACAGCATCCTTGATTCTTGCTCGCACAAGGCTGTCCAAAATCTTGCAGTCATTGTGCTGGTCCCACTCAGCTTTCAAGCGATCCCGCTCACTTGACTTAATGGAAGCCAAAATAGCATTATGCTTCTGATGGCTGCGTCGGATTCTTTCTAGATGGTGCTCAGCTCCTTGGCCTTTAGGAGGCTTGGATCTCTGAAAACAAAAACCAACTATCACTTATAATAAGCCAAAGAATCAACTGCATATTTTCAATTAGTTATGCTCTCAATCAATACTCATACTAAATAAAATTGGGTATAAAAAACTAATACATCCTACTACAACTGAATACAGCTTATGCACCTAAAGAGTAACTTGTTTCATTCTCTGAGCCTATACCTAAGATGTCATCAAAACAGTCTCAAATATTTCTAATGTGCCATTTGAAAAATAGTTGATGGAAATTACAAAGTTAAAAATGTGAACAGGACTCTGTTGAGATTGTCTAGTCAAACCCAGAGACATTAAGTGATTTGCTGAACTTGCTTCAAATAGGGCAGATAAAACAAGAATTAGAGGTCTTCTAATTCCCGACCTTGACATTGCCACTCATTATTCCACATTATTTCTCACGGTTGGACACCATAGTTATCACATCAAAATACTTTCAATGAAAAGGTGCTACTATGCGAATATATAGAAAAAATATACATGTGTGTATATACATGTATATGTGTGTGTGTATATATATGTGTATATGTATATGGATATATAACGAGTTGTGATAATGAAAGATCTTTGACTAAGAAGGAAGAAATGAAGTGAGGGAGGAAGAGAGGAGGGAAAAGAAAAAAAGCTGGTGGTAGAACTTTATTCCTATTTCTATGGTGCCCAGAAGTTTTAATGCAAAGAGTGTGTTCCTGACCTTTTGGGCTACTTTGAATTTCTATAAATGTACTGTTTTTACAGAAATGTCCACTAAAAAAGTTAGAAATGCATGTACCATTTGAATATATATAGATACACTTAATGAAATCACATAGCCTATATCTTTTTCCTTTCTGTATTCCTAGCATTGAACATAATGCCTACTACAGTGAGGTCCTCAATAGAAATGAATGAATGAATGAGTGAATGAATGAAACAATGTTGCTGGGTGGGCTTGATGCAATTTCTGCACCTCCTGGAGCCACCATAAAATCCATAGTCTTGAGCTTTGTATTTTCAGGAACAGTTTTATCAAGTCATCCTTAGGTAAGTTGTGAGATACTGGGGTGCTGATTCACAGAAACAAAACTCTTAAGAGACAGAGAGTCAATCTGATCTTTTACATTTAGAATATCACCATCAGGATTACCAGAATACTAGGGTTAGGTGTTTGTAATGAAGTCTCCTGAGGAAAGAAAATCAACATTTGAAGACAGTTTAATGAAAAGATTCAGGGCTCAGGGTACACATATAGGTACCTAGATTTAGCTGAACAAGATAAGGCAAGCCTGGGGTGGTAAGGAGACAGAAGATGATGCTGGGGGTTATATCATGGAAAGTAGCTAATCCATGTCATAATTATCTGGAGCCTAGAGCCAGCTAATTAGATGACTGTTCTCCAATACAGTTGGCATTTTATGAATATAGATCTGTGAAAATAAAGCAGAGGAGGATCACAGTGGCACCCTTGGCAGCATACACAGCAGGAATTAAGGGTCCCAGTGTGAGCTGAGAACAGGAATGAAACACCAAGTAAATCTAGAAACACTGGCTCCAGTTGTCAGGACAGGAAACAGGGCTGAGGGATATTTTGGCTGAAGAGGTGACAAATACCATGAGCAGTACCCAAGGGGTCAGGAAGCCTTTTAAGGCTTGGGAATCATGTGAAGGACTCTGGTCTGGGAAGGACCCAATCTCTTGATAAGTTAGGGGTATGACCTGGAGTTCTCAAAAAAGGTGATGCCAATCCCAGCACAGTCGTGGTATTGTTCAAAGTCTGTACTGTTCAATATAAATATAATGCAAAACAGATATGTAATTCTAAATTTTCAAGTGGCTGCATTTAAAAAAGTAAAAAGAAACAGGGGAAGTTAATTTTGATAGTATATTTTATTTAACCAATATATCCAAGATGTTATCTTGTCAATATGTGACTCTAGGCACATTTCAAGTGCTCAAATGCTATGTGTGACTAGTGGCTACCTATTGGACATCACAGCTCTAAACCATGCTAAAGTCAGGAAAACACAGGATATTTTACTAACTACTGTGGGTTTTCAAGGTCACTGAAGGCTGTTATTGTAGCATCTCCAGTTATAGTTATTAGGATTACAATTTACAGTTCGGTTGTCTTAAAGAACAATGCTTTACATCCTAGGTTTGATTCTGGCCTCTGTCCATTACTAATTGAATGGAGCAAGTTACTTAATCTCTTTGAATCTTAGTTTTCTCACCTGTCAAATGAGCAAAATAAGTATCCTCCTAATGGATTCCTAGGAGACACTCATCAAATAGCTGCTCCTTTTGATGTCCCATTACTTCAGACATTAAATTTTTCACAGGTTTCTCCTGGGGAATTGTTTAGGGTCCAAGTCTCATCTGCTGGTGGCTTTAATTCTTGCAACACAATTCTGCTACCTCTAACATCTATCTTTCTTATCACACTCAGACACCGGAGGAGCAGATGCACCAACTCTAACCTCCTCCTTTTCCTCTTAATTCTTCTTAGGTGCAAAGTATTCAATAAGCCCGCTTCTCTGGTTTAGTGTTTTTGTTTGTTTTCTGTTCCTTATTGGTTCCCAACACAAGTAATAGCACCCAACAATGGCTCAGCCCCTGAGCCCAGTGTTTGGATACAGAACCCAAAGTAGATCTTCTGTCCTTCATGAAGTGTGTTTATAATTATCACCTTGAACCCTACAGCCTACTTATGTGTCCCATCTACTGCTTTCCAGCTCCAGATCTTACAGTACTTGGACCTAAAGAAGGAGCAGGTCTATAGGTTGACTGAAGTTTGCTATGTGCACTGTGGAGCATAATAAAACTGTATCACTGATCTTTCATCCATCAACTGACATCACAGACAATATAGCACATCATTATTTACCGTGCTAACCTTTAGTGGTTTCATTCTACCTAAGTTTTTTTTTGCAATTGGATTACAAGTTGAGCACCCCTAATTTGAAAATCTGAAATCTGAAATGCTCCAAAATCTGAAGCTTTTTGAGCACCCACATGATGACATAAGTGGAAAATTTCACACCTGACCTCATGTAAGGGGTCACAGTCAAAACACAAGCAAACAACACATATTTATTCAGCATCCCCAAGGGGAAAATAAAATTACCTTCGAGGTAATGAAATATAAATAAATTCTGTGTTTAGACTTGGGTCCCCTCCCCAAGATATTGCATTATGTATATGCAAGTATTCCAAAATCCAAAAAAAAAATCTGAAATCCTAGACATCTCTGGTCCCAAGCATTTCAGATAAGGGATACTTGACTTGTATAAGCTCCTTGAAGGGAGGGCTCAGGCTTCAATAAAGAGTTAACCTTCCAGGATCATTGTATCCACCCCTGTATCTCCCACAATACTGCGCACACAGCAGGGGCTCAAGCAATAACTCTGCCTACATGTTAGTTTTCTGGTGGGTAGAAACTAATTTGTAGAAACAAAAAAATCTACATGTATGGACCAATAGTGTCTGAGGTTCTCAGCAGGAACCATCAAATTCTGCAGCAAGCACATTTTCCTGGCCTACTACCACTCCAGCCTTAGAGGCAGGCACCTGAGTTTTTCCCAGGTCTGAAGGGACACTTCTGTCCAGCAATGGTTACTGGTTGAGTTGGCACAGGAAAGGCGTTGGGTGCTATAACCACTCACAACCTAATTCCCCTTCCTCAGACGATTTTCCTAGGAGTGAAAGACCAGCTCCAAATCATAGGCCCGCCCTGCCCCCAGATCTGTCTCTGGGCCGGGTGCCCTTTCCATAACACACACTCGCCACTGCATGGGGGACAGACATCCTTCCGGTGTCTTGGAGACTGAAAAACCCTAAGATCCCTAGTGGTGATTCTCCAAAAACAGAACCTAAATATTATAACTTTGGGGGCAGATGAAAGGCTGTAAGGATGAAAACAGAGGGAGATGAGTGGGTGAGAGGTGGGGTAGATAGGTGAGCGACCTTATCTTCCTTCTTTCAAAATTCAACCCACTGCATCAGGCGACACCCGTTCCCCTCGAGAAGGCCCCGGGTGGGGGCCGAAGTGGGATAGGCCAGGCCTGGAGTGCGGAGAGATGGAGAAAGCTGTAGGGTCTGGCAGACATATCCTGTGCTTACCACGATCACCACTTTGGGGGTGGGGCCCTTAACCTCCCGCTGTACGGTGCCAAACCGCTGGCTGTACATTTTCGAGTCCCCTTCGGGACGGGGGCGGCGTCCGCCGCGTTTCCCCCAACCGTGGCGACCTGCGGGACCCGCTTCCGCGACGCAGAAGTCTGGTTGCCATGGTGCGCCTCGCGGGATTAGGGGCCGGTAGAGGTGGGCGGGTCGGGCGGAAGTCGGTCTGGTCACCATGGGGGCCGCAGACGCCTGCACTCGGGACTTCCTCTTCCAGCTGAGAAGCTGAGCCTGCGCAGTCCTCACCCCGCCCCTCGGCCAAATCCCGCCGACCTTGCTCCCTTCCTCCAGGGTTCATCAGAATGGCAGAAAAAACCTCTAGCCCAAGAAAAATCAAAGCTCTAATTACAATTCCAGTTGACTTTGCTATTTATATCTTGTAATGGTCTAAAAGTATGAAAAAGGTTAGCGAACATTTTTTGGGAAGCTTAAATTTTGCACTATCTGTAGGTTAATCTTGATGACGGTAATAATCACAGGAAAACCTTATATTTGTGTAGTTCTTTACAATTTCCAAGATATTTTCACACACACAGCCTTTTAACCTCACAGATTTTTTCTGAGACAAGGTCTCGCTCTGTCGCCCAGGGTGGAGTGCAGTGGCGTGATCATGGCTCCCTGCAGCCTCGTCCTCCTGGGCCTCAGCCTCCAGAGTATCTGGGACTACAAAGCCTGCGCCACCACGCCCTGCTAATTTAAAAACAAATTTTGAAGAGACAGGGGGTCCCGCTATGTTGCTCAGGCTGGAACTCCTGCTCCTGGGTTCAAGCGATCCTCCCCACTGCCCCTCCCGCCGGCCTCCCAAAGTGTTGGAATTACAGGGTGCGCTACCGCGCGTGGCCGCAAATATCTTACAGGGTTGATAGAATAGCAAGTAATACTATCCTTATTTTCCAGCTAAGGCAAAGCTCAGGGAGCCTAAGTGCCTTGTCAAACCAAATAACCAGTAATAATAATAATTTTTTAAAACCTGTTAATAAAATCTTCCTATTTGCCATTGGCAGAAACCAGGGCTTAGACTCAGGATATCCTAGGATGGGGGCAGATCAAATGGACTAGTGGGGCAGTGGCACGACCTGGTGGAGCATAATTAAGAGTCTGAGGGTCACAGTGGACCAGGGTCAGGATGTGGATCAGAAGTCCAGTAACTGGTTTCTGAGAATCAGGATCCAGGCAGAACAGGAAACACAAATCAGGGAACCAGGACGGACCTGCAGCACAGGTGGTAACCACAGTTGCATTTCCAGTCAAGAGCAAGGTGGTAATACCTAAAAGCCAATTAAGAATGACACTGTGATACTCCCATTCTAAAGTGGGGGTGAGCATAGAACACTTGTGAGCACATGCAACAAATCAGTACCTACGTCAAACTGACATATAATAAGTACAACTAATGTGTATGCCCTCTTAAGGACGCAATTTACTGTAAATTAGCATTCCTTAATCATTTGTAAACCACCCACTTCGGATTTTGTATGTGGTATGTTTCTAAATACGAATTCCATTTCCTGAATTGCTGGTTCAGCTTTTCAGCCACGAAATAATGTTTTTCTTCTCTTTTAATAATTCTGTCATTTTGTGTTCTTTTCTATAACGGTTCTTTCAATTGCAGTTCAGTAAAATACGCATTTGCATTTACTAAGAGTTTACGTGGCCTGAAACAGAAAACAAACAAATTAGGTGGTCGTCTCGGTTTCCTGGAGTGTCCAGAGGGGCGGTTCTTTGATCTTCGAGTCCAACGGGCTCCGGGCCCGCCCGTCGGTCCGGGCGGAACCACCCCCACCACACATCCTCCGGGAAGGCGGCAATGAAAACGCCTTGGGCCCGAAGTACGGCTTGGGAAAATCGGCGCAGATTCGGGGCCGCCCGTTGGGGATTCCCAAGGTTGTGCAGCCCAAAGGGCCTCGTCGGAATTTCTGAGGCGATGGGGTAAACCGACCCTTGGCGACACCCGGCCGCACTCGAACGTCCTAGGTCGTCGAGCCCCGCCCTCACCCTGGGCGAGCTCCGAAATTTAACCCCGGTTCGGTTTTGCCTGTTTTACCACTATTTGAAGAGGGGGACTCAGCTTCCCTCTGGCCCTAGCCCAAGTACTGGGGTTTGCGCCGGACGGAGACCACGCCCCAGGGCGGCCAGGCCAGGGGTGATGGGTGACGAGCGGTGCCTCCAGGGCCCCGGTGGGTGACTGTGGCTGGGAACTACGGGCTTTCTCGCCCCGGCGCCCCCTGGCGGACCCACCAGCAGGTTGAAGGTGTCCGGCCAGTGCTGAGCACCAAGAGCCTCAGCCTTCAGCCAACCCCCCGCCCCCGCGGCCTAGGTAAGTGAATCGCTCAGGGTCCTTGGAAAGAAGTGACCTTGATTTGATCTTCCCACCCACTATCCCAGTTTCTCAGAGGCAGTCAACACTGTTCCCACCAAACCACTCCCAAAAGAAACACTAAGCATGTAAGTAAGTGGGACAATAAAAATTTAAAAATAATTTTAAAATAGAACAGCTTAGAGATAGAAACTAAATTATTTCCAATTCCTACTGTGCCCCAAACAAGGTTCACAAAAGGGCTGTCCTCCCAACAATTTTCTGAATTCTATATATTCAGCATTAAATTCCATGATAAAGTTGGAAATCCATTCACCATTTGTAATACATATTGATGCATTTAATAAAATTGCATGGGCCGTATCTTTTGCATTTCTGTATCCTAGTATTAAGTACAGTGCCTACCACAGGCCAGGTTCTCAATACTTGAATAAATGACACAAAAATAGCCAGGACCAGCAAGTTTTTTCTGGGTGGGCTTCATAGAATCTCTGTACTTGCTGGAATCACCATGAAATCCATGGTCTTCAGCTTTGCATTTTCAGCCACATAGTTATATTGAGTTATCCTCAGGTGAGCAGTGAGACCCTTGGGAGCGGATTCATGGTAGGGTGGCTTTGTAATGTGTCACCTTGGTGAGGCTATGTTTCCCGGAACTCTCTTCCAGTAAGATGGGCCACAAGAGACATTTTGCTTGATAACCGGAGGGCGGAAGTGAAGCAGCAGCACATTGTTTTTACACTTGGAAGGTTGGTGCTGGGGCACCAGGCGTTGTTGCAGTTCACACGTTGCCATGTATCTGCTAGATCACCTCGTTGGTGTGGGCAGTAGTCAGGCCTGCAGCCAGGCCTGCAGCTGCTCCACCTTCCCCAGGATCATCCTTTCAGCTTCTCTAATTCCTGGGCCAGATGCATATTTAACTCTGTGAGGAAGGGCACCAGCTTCTTCTGCAGGACACCCACATCATCGAAGCTGGAGGTGGTGAGAGACTGACATGGGTTCCAGGCCATCCTCGTGGGTTCCAGCTCGTGCTCGTGGGCTCCACTGTGTCCTCGGTCTCCCACACTTTACATCCATCTTCCCTTCCCGAGTGCCTGCCCTGCAGACTTCAAGCTCCAGCATTAGATGCAAAGACAACAGCCTTACAGAGACTGTTTAACCAGCTCCCACAATGGCATGCGGTCAGATCCCTATAATAAATCCCTTAAAATACATATATACATAATCTTTATCTTAGTGGTTCTGCTCCTCTGATTGTACCCTAACATAAATGGTCAGCAGAAGCTTAACTCATGAGTCTAAATGTCAATCAAATAAATTTCATATAGATCATTGTCAAAATTACCAGAATACTGGGGTTGGGTGGTTGGTTCCTGGGGGAAACAAAGCAGTATCAGTCTATCCAGTCTTGACTAGGGCTGAACTAGTTAGGATGGAATAAAGGAAGGGGTGGGGAAGGTGGCAGAGGCTGGACTGTATGAGACAGAACTGGGAAATGGCTAATCCATGTCTGAATTACTTAAAGCTGCAGGGCTGGGACTAGGGTAAGGCAAGGGAGGCACACAGGATACAAAGTTTAAGGAGGCACTCACTCAGTCCTGGCCCTGTAAAGCTGGCTAACAAATTACAGGTCTAATCTTTTTGGCACTTTATGAATGAAGAATTGGGAGAGAGTGAGGTAGGGCTGAGCCAAGACTGGCTCTTGGGCAGGACTCGAAGCAGGAATTCAGCCTCCTAGAACACATTCAGGCTGAGGGCAGGAGCCAAGCACAAAGGTGATCACAGGGCAGGAGATGCACGTTGTCAGGAAAGATGAGCCAGGCTGGCAGCTTTAGTTACAAAGACTGCTCTGGCTGAAGAGGGGGAGTCAGGGTAACAAGCAAAATGGACAGCAGCCAGTGGGGAGATATATCCTGTAGGGTTTGAGGAATCCTATGCAGCACCTGGGGTCTGCAGGAAACCCAGTTTCTGTATGAACAGATGCTCTGACAAGGTGACCCCATCTACATTGAGCCTTGGCACTCCCTAAACCATGCTAGAGACAGGAATGTAAGGGATTTATTATAGTAATTATAGTAATCTGTGTTTTCAAGGTCACCGAAAACTCCTGTTAGTGCATACAGGATTACAGGTTACAGTTTAGTGGAGTAAAGAACAAGGGCTTTAAAAGCTGGGTTTGAGTCTAGGCTCTACTAACACCAGCTGTTCGACATTGGACAAATTAATGAGTCTCAGTTTTCCCATCCACATAAATGGACAAAATCAATGTCTTCCCAAAAATATTATTTTAAGGATTAAATAAACTGGGTCCACAGAGGAACACACCAAATAGCAGTTCCTTTCCTTATTTATTCAATTACATTTTCAATTGCTATCTCCCTGAGGAAGTATGTAGAGACACTGCCAGGTCTCATCCAGAAGCCACTTACAATTACTCATGAACATGGCTTGTTTAGGTTGTTTTGTGGTGGCTTTAATTATATTACCTTTCTCCAACCCAGCTCCCCCACCCTTAAAATCCAACTTCTTATACTCAGGCTCTTGGGGAGGAGAAGATGCACCAACTTTCTACTCTTTCTCTTCCTTTCCCGCTTACTTCTTCTAGAAGCTCAAAGTACTCTTAGGCCTGCTCTTCTGGTTTGGTAGTAGGTTTTTCCTCCTAGGGTTGATTCACACACAAGCCCTGGCAACCAATCTAGGGTCCAGCCCCTAGTAGATCAGTGTTGTCTCTCATAAAGCCAGTCTGCAAATATCACCTTGAATCCTACAGTCTGTAGAAGCCTCCAGTCTACTGCTTTCTAGCTCCAGGTTTTTTAAGGTCTTTGGACCTAGGGAAAAGGGAGCAGGTCTGTATGTTGAATGAGGTTTGCTATGTGCGCAATGGAGCATTACAAAACCATTTCCTACTATTCTGTGTCCTCCATCCACTTCCCCTTAATTATCCTTTATCTTTTTTTATATCTTCTAAAAACTACCATTATAGACAGCTTGTACATAGTCAGATTATAAGCTCCCTGAAGGTAGGTATCCTGTGTCTCCTGAAGGGTAAGCTTTGCAGGGCTCATTGTCCTCAATGCTGTGCACCCAACAGGAACTCAATCAATACTTCTGTAATTGGCCAAGTATAGATGAAAGGGTTTCTAGCCTGGTGGGCTGGTTTGTAGGAGCAAAGGAATCCAAGTGCTTAGGCCAATAGTTTACATCGCCAGTGTCTGGGGCTCTATGCAGGGTCTGTCAATATTCTGCAGGAGCCAGCACTCCTCTGTCCTCCCAACCACCCTAGTCCTTACAGGCATCTACCCTTTGTTCTATGCCAGGACTACAGGGACAGTTCTGCAAGGCATCTGAAGTTAATAACCTCAATAGGCTCAGGAAAGGCTCAAGAGATCCAGCCCAAGCCCTTCCACAGAGGCCGCTCCAGGAAGTGCAGGGCAACCAGAGATCACACAACTACGTGTGAACCCAGCTCACAAAGCCAGCTCGGAACCCAGATCTCCTGCCCATACCACTGCCCAGGCAAGCCCAGCACCATTTCTCTGGTACACATTGCTCAATGTCAGGCAACAGCCCACCCAGAGGTCTCCTGGAGACTCTAAAGGCCTTCAAGACCCAAATGATTATTCTCTGAATAAGAATTTATATATTAAAGCTGACCCCTATAGAAATTCCTTAGGAAAATAGGGACCAGACTCCCTATCTTTTTCTTTCAAATCTCATGATAGAGTACCAAGTCTTTCCCCTACCCCCAAAGGAGAGTCCTAACCTGGAATGCTATTGGGCTGGATCTCAGGAGAAATCTCTAGGGTCCTACACACACGCCCCTCATTAATTGTGACCAGCATAGTGGGTATGGGCCTTTACCTCCCACCACACCATGCCAAACTGCCGGCTATACTTTCAAAACTCAGGGCCCACATCTGGCCAACACCCACTCCTTCCCCACCCCTCACTGTGTGGGGCACACCTTGGCAACCAGACTGCTGTATCTCGGAAGCGGGTTCCACCCAGGCTGAAAATCTCCGTGATCTAGAGAAGAATTAACACCATAGGTCAATGTGGTTGTTGGGGCTACAGCAGGGTCAGGGCAGGGTGGGGCATCCCCAGCACTGACCACGGGTGTGCCAGCCCCTCCTGCCTCTTCCTCTGGGGCCAATTTGGAGGCAGAATCATCCTTGTTCTCCTCCTTGTCCTCCTCTGGGTCAGGTGGCTCTTGCTTCACAGAAGGCAGGCCTGGGTCTACTGCCTGGGAGAAGTAGGAAACAGGCAACCATTAGAAGGGCAGAGTTCACCTGAGGAAAGTCTCTATCAGCCAACCCCTCACTGTGCTGACAAATCCTACTTCCATCACATTTCAACACAGAAAGTCCATCTCTCTGCCTACAAAGCTTTCCCATTCCCATTCCTCACTGACCTCCGTTTTTCTGTTAGCTGGATAGCAAAGCGGGCAAAGCTAGTTGCCTGTGGGAGGTAGGGTGTCTGTTAGACAGGCGGGGTAATTCTGCAGAAACGTCGCAATCAGCACATCTATTGCTCTGCTCAAGAGAACCATCATGGCTCATCATCACTCTGCTTACAGACCACTCCGCTACGGCACCAACAGAACATCCATCACTGCCCCCACCTTGCTAGGGCAGCCAGGCACCAATACGGGAGAAGTCAGGACAGCTGTGCCTGGTGTCCACTCGTCCTGGGTATCCGCCTTCTCTTGCTTCACCTGGGGTAAGGCCACAACCCAACTCAGGCCAGAGCACTGGGCCTCCTGCGTGAGGGAGGATTGCAGCAGACTTGGTCTCAGCTCCCTGGCATGCAGCTGGGTGAGGCTGGGAAGGCAGGACAGGGTGGGGCCCTCACCTGCAACAGGGCTTCTGTGGAAGCTGCAACAGGGCCCGGCACCTGCACAGGACTGCTTGCGCCTTCCCGTAAAAACACAAGGTCAGTGCCAGGCGGGGGCAGCACAAAGCCACCACCTGCTTCCTGCTTCGTTGGAGCCTGGGTATGGTCTGGTTGGGCTGTGCGTGTAGCCAAGGTGGGCTTCAAGGTAGGGCCAAGATGGTGCCGTCGGGCAGAGCTGGGCCTCTTTCGACGACGGTAAGGTGGGGGCGATCCTGCCCCATCCTCAGACTCTGACCAGACACTGGGCAGCAGCCGCTTCTATGGGGAAAGATAGGGTGCTATGGCTACCTGGTGTCCTGACCAATCACATCCACCCTGCCCGGCTCCACATGCCTGCTAATCTCCCATCAGTCCCAGCACGGAATCTGCTTACATATGAGCCCTTCATCACTGAGCCTGCTAGTCTCCTATTAGCAACACCAATGCCACCTAGACTCATTAAGCCAAGAACAATGTCTGTTAATCCTCAACCAAAGCTACTGCCCCACCCACCCACCTACCAAGCCTGCCCACCACTTCCAGGCACTGGGGCGCCTGGCCCAACCTATCCCGTCCACCTGACCCTTCCTGCCCCACCCACCATGGCAAACTGCAGGCATTGGCGCCAACGACACTTCTGGCGCTTCTGGTTGCTGCCCCCGAATTTGGGCTTGTCGCAGCAGAAGTCGCAGCGGCCACAGTCCATCCGCCGTAGGCAGGCTGCACAGGCCCCGCACTTGCGGTTCTGCCGGCGGTTCGTGTAGGGCTGCTGGGGTGGGGGGAATGGGTGGTGCTGTCAACTAGGACTAGGAGAGGCCATCCTCAACGCCTATTCCAGTGCTGGTCCTGGTGCTCCTCTAGCCCCATAAGACGGAGCTACTTGCATACTAGTCTCAGCCTCCTGACTCCCCACTAGTCACTCCTCAGCATTCGCTAGTTCAACATTGGCCACTATCACTGTGCCAGCTGGCCCTCGATACCATTAGGACTGTGGCTGCTCCACTACAGTATCCACTGCTGTATTTCCTAGGCCACCACTAGCTACCAAGAAAATGTCTCTGACCCCCATTTCCAGCAACATTTTGATAACTCTCTATTAGCTCCCATCACTGTGCCTACTCTGTCGCTCATCCTAGGTGAACCCCAGTCACTATGCTAGCTGCTCCTCTGTCAATCCCCACATCAGCTACCAGAGTGTTGGTATATGTGACATGAAGCACTCTCATGCACCTGCTGACCCCGTATTAGTCCTCCATTATCTACTCATCCCATCCTAGGACCCATTATTGTGCCTTGCTGTTCCCCAATAGGCTCATTCCAGCATCTGCTTCTTTGAAGTTAACCAAGCGTCCTGAGATTCTAGGCTTATCCAGGTAGGGTGGGGCCACTCACTAGCTCGTCCTCGTCTACACAGTAATAGATGAACTCGGCAGGTGGCGAGGGGGCCAGGGCTCTGGGGTGCTGTAGAGGCAAATGGGGTGGGGTCAGGGCAGGTACTGGGTAAGGTCAGGGTTGTGCCTTCCCTCCACCCACTGGGGCCTCACCGGCTCTGTGGGCTCTGGGGACTGTGATGGGGGTGGTGGAGGCAGTGGCTGGGCTCCGGGGCGCCGCCTGGCAGCCATCTTGGAGTCACAGCCTCCCTTGCGGCGGGCATGTTTACCCTGGGAAAGATCAGAAAGGGTGGTTTCAGCTTGGTGGCACCAGGCAGACACAGAAACTCCCCACACCCTAAGTGCAGAAAGCATGCATGGGACAGGCAGACAGAGGGTGGCGTGAGGCACTCACAGTTGGGGGAGCCACAGCCAGGGGAGTGCGTCGCTGACATCTCTGATGACGGCGACGCAGGCGGTGAGCAAGGTGCTGGCAGACAGAGGCAGGTAGGCGGGGCCAGAAAGGCGAGCATAGGGTTAGGCAGAAAAGAAAGACATGAGGTAGGCAAGGCCAGGTTGAAAGGAAGCAGAGGCAGCGACGATTTTAACAGCAGAATGAGCTCTGCTCCCTCCAGCCCAACTCACCCGTAGGCAACGTCGCTGGACACATTTCCACTGGCGCCTGAGACCAGGGCGGGGAGGGCGAAGGCAGATGGGGCAATGGCCACAATCCTCTTGGGTCTGACAGCCCCGGCATACTCCACACCCTCGGCTCTGTTGGCGGGGGGCAGGTGGGAGCAGAGGCATGAAGCATGGGGCCAAGCCCATGGGGGCCAGGGGCCGAGGTGAGCCTTGGGCTCTTTCCACTTGCCCAACTCACCCTTTCCACAATCCGGAGGCAGCGTCTCCGTTCACACTTGCAGAACAGCCCCGATGCCACATCATGGGGCAGCTGCAGGAGGCAGGTGGAGCAGGCCCCACAGTCTTCTGTTACCTGGCAGGCTGCACACTCCCCACAGCCCACACGCTGCCAGGAATGGTAGGGACGAGATCACGGGCCTGCTCCAGAAGCACTGGTCCTCCCATGTCTACTGACCCTACATCAGCTGGCATCACCATGAATTTTAGTCCCCCATTAGCCTCATCACCGTATCTGAGAAGGTCTGGTTAGTCACCATCACTGAGGCCATTAGTATGTCTACTGGTCCCCTGTTCACTTCATCACTGTGTCTACTGATGCACTAATGGTAATGGGGATTAATTACCCCATTAATTCCCATTATTGTGTCTGCTGACCTATGGAGAGCACCCTATAAAATGACTCTTCATCCTGTGGACCCATCATCATCCCTTCAGACTCTACCAGCTCCATCACATCCTGCTCCCACTGCAGAGTTGTGAAGAGGAAGCAGGTTGTGCTTACCTTAAACATTCTCTGTTCCCGGTTGAAGGCAATTCTCTGTGCTGTGGGGAGGAAGAGGGAAGAAGAAAAGTGGAAAGGAAGCAACAGACATCTGACTTCACTCACTGCCTGTGCCCTGACTTCCACTATTCAACCTCTACCTATGCCTGCTATCTCCAATATCCAACCTCCAACCATGCCAGTAGCCTCTGTCCTGACATCCACATTCAAACCCCAGCCTAGCATGACACTGGACCTGCTCCAGCTCCTATCTCCCGATGCCCCATCCTCTGGAGGCCACTCACCTCGACAGTCTTTGCACAACGTTTTGAGCCGCTGCCTTTGGGTGCCATCCCCTGAGAAGCTGATTCCACAGTTCTCACAGCACCTGGGATGGGAAAGGCAGGTGTGGGGCTCCAAGAGCACCCCCAATCACAACCCTCACCCATCTGGCTCACCTTAGACCAACACTCACCCAGGAGCAGGGAATGAAGCTGGGGCTGTGTCAGTGTCAGCCTTGGTCTCATCCCTCGGGGCCTCCTTCCTGACCTCACCACTCTGGGGTCCAACCTGACGTTTCCGAGTCTTGGCTGGCCTTGAAGGCTTCTTTCGCTTCTTGCTGGCAACCGCCACGGGATGGGCCTGGAAAGTAAGGGAAGGAGGAATATGGGTCAGTGGTTGGGTGTTGGGTGGCACATCCACCCCTACCTAGGTATCTCATGTTGTGAAGTACCTTGGGGGCTGGATAGCACAAGATGCCTTGTTTGAAGTCGAAGAGGGTGAGATCACACGCAGGGCCCAGGTATCGAGTCAGCTCAACTTTGCTTCGGATCCTGTCTCCTGTGGGGCTAGGGATGGGCCATGATGGGTTAGCACCCAGGTGGAGCCAATGCCATTTCACTCATACAACCTTTTGACAGGGCTGGCAGGATATAGGAGGCAGCCTGGAATTGGCTTGTGAGCCCTGCCCAGCCCCCACCTCAACTAACCTTGAAAACATAAAAAAATTAATATAAATACCAACACATATAGAAACATTAGAAACAATATAAATGTAAACAGATGAACATATTTACAACATATAATACTAGTAATACTGGAACTATTTCATGTAAGTAAAAATAAACACAAATAGGAACACAAATATATTATATTTGTGTTATATATATATAACACAAATATAACATATAAATGTTAGCATTATGTACCAAGTATATATCAAGTAAAGAAAACACAAATATGTTTTAAAAACATATAAACAAATGCAACTACATACAAATTAAAGTATAAGTAATTGATTTTGGGACCCCCATGGGTTTCTTGCATTTTTGTATGCCCTGCAAGAGAGACAACGATTGTCCTTTTTGATAAACTATCTTTCCAAGGATGTTTGTAAAGCAAACAACCTTGGAAGATAAGAGATAGGGTCTCCTTCCATAGGAGGAAGGGAAAGTATACTTTTTCCAAAGGGAAAGCATACTTACTGTCTTAATATTATTTAAAAAAAACCTGATTCTCTAAGCTCACGGTTCTTTTCCTATAATAATACAACCCTCTTCACGTCATGCTGTAGGAATTGGGATTCAGAAACTGGCACAAAAATAGTAATACAGTAATTCCCCCTCTCGTGCAGGGGATACATCCCAAGTTCCCCAGTGGATGCCTGAAACCGTGGATAGTACCAAACCCTAATGTAATATGTACTGTGTTTTTTCTATCTGATAACTGAGATGGTTACTGTGTGACTAACAGGCAGGTTGTGTCTAGAACATGGATATGGATACGGATATGGACAAAGAGATGATTCACCTCTTGAGCAGGACTGAGCGGGATGGTGTGAGATTTCATCACGCTACTCAAAACGGCACACAATTCAAAACTAATGAATTGTTTATTTCTAAAATTTTCCATTTAATATTTTTGGATGGTGGTTGACTGTAGGTAACTAAAGCTGTGGAAAATGAAATTGCAGATAAGGGGGAGACTACTGTATTCTGGATCCTGCAACTGTTGTAATAAACTGTCTTTGATCTGTAACCCAGGAGTCTTACCCCTCCTACCAGCATCTACAAAATTCTGACAAATTCACTATTATCTTGTCCTAAGAATGAAATCTCAGGTTCTTTATAGTTCTTGACAACTGCACTTTTAAGTTTTGAAAGTTTTATACAAGTACATAAATATGTGAATAAATTATAACTAAATATAAACAAAAAGTAATTTGTAATTTGATATTTACCTGGAAAGATAGCAACTTAGATTTAAAAAATCAGAAAGAATATAGAAACTTAATAATGTTTCTTAAACACATGTAAATGCTTATAAACATCTATGTTGACTCTCATTAGTTATGGTAGTTACGTTCTACAAAGCTATCATGAACATTGAATACAAAACCATTGCTCCTAGAAGAAATACAGGGTTAGGTTCCTGAGAGCATCTGAACTTTTGTTTTGTGTGTGTTTCTGTTTAAACACACATTACTTAATACATATTTTTTTTTACAAATGATTATTTGCATGGTCTTTGAATGACTCAAACCAGGGGACTTGGAGGCCGTATGTGTTATGTAAGGTTTTTTGCCAATATTCTTGTTTAACAAGCCAATCTCATTGACATTGAAAACCACTCTTCCACACAACCCCTTTCCTGTACAACACTTAACAGGTATTTTTAAAATTCTTCGGAAGACTCCTGATCAGCAGAACCTGCATTGCATGCAGGTTTAACATGTTTCATGCCATGTCGCCTTTTGAAATGTGCAAGTCAGCCAGCACTAGCTGATATAACCTTAATATTTTCCTAACCCAGGGTAACATGACTTTGGCTTTCCTCAACAATGCTGTCAACTATGCTTTATTGATCGTCATTTCATGAACCCACCAATGTAGCTGCTTTCTCATCTCTTACATAGCTTCAAGACTATAAATGCTTTCTGTACTTTCTGAAGCAGCTTTGTGCACATATTGGCAAATTTCCTTCTTTTTCTGGTTGTACCATAATTCTGATGCATAACATTGAACTTACAGCCAACAGCATTGTAACTCAGATAACCAGCAAAGTTTATCTGCCTTGTATTTTCTCCATAAAGCACGACATAGTCTTCTCACAGAACACTAAACAGCACCTCAGCACTATGCTTGGGGACCATTTTAAAAAGCAAAATCACCAAAAAGTACAAAAATTAGAAAAATGTGACACTAAACAGACCACGAAAAGGACACCTGTTTACAGTATTAAAGCTGAAAAGGGCTCCTTCAGCCTCAGCTAGAAATACATGCATTGAGTGACAGTTTTTCACTGCTCTGTACGTATTCTTGAATAATCACAAATGCACTGTGAGTAGTGACTTTTAAGTTACAAATAAATTTTATTAAGTAGGTGAAATTCAAACATAAAATCCGCTAATAAGGATTAACTGTATGTGCATAATTTAAACTTCATCCATAAATTTAACCACACCATTTGATTTTACCAGAATCAGGCTCTACCCCACTCCTGACTCTGCCCACTACCCACCCAGTACCTCTGGTAATAGGTGTCTGAGCGTCCACAGGTGGCCCCTGACTTGCGAAAGACTTCGCGGCGCTTCCAGCCAGGGCCCAGGGCCGGGCAGTCCAGCCAGTCCTCAGCCATGGAGGCCACAGGAAGCAGCAGTAGCCTGAAAGGGGGTGGAAGGGATGAGGGAAACTGAGGCTCTAGGAAGGGACAACACTGTGCCCCAGGCCACACAAATCACTGGTATCCATTAGTGCTTGCCCAAGCCCTAGGACCTGCCACAGGCAACCAGCCCATATATGGAAAAGAAACCCCTCATATTCTCACCCCATTCTTTCCTATTCTGGGCCTAGGATATCATCATTCCTCAACCCAAGGATCCCTGTTTCTTATTCTCAGTGTCCTAATCCCCTACTCCTCTCTATCCTCAGACTGACAACCCATCATTTCTCCTCACTGCCAATCCAGAAACTTTTCATCCTTCCCCCTCATTCCTCCCTGTCACTGACCTAAGGGCCTCTATCCCTCTATTTTATCACCCCAAGACCCCCATAGTCCCCATCCTCAGCCCCAAAGGGCCCCATTTCTCTTGCCCTCACTACTTGACTTCAGTAGTCTCTCATTCCCCCCTTCCTTGACCCAGGAGTTCCTAATTTCCCTCCTTCAGTGTTTTAACCACTCCATTCCTTCTCTGCCTGATGTCCTCTTATCCTGCTACCTCAGTGTTACAACCTCGACTTCCTCTGCGAGACACAACTGCTCCAACCCATAGCCTGAACAGCCCCTCATCTTTTCCATTCCTCACACTGGAAGCCTCCCATGCCTCCCCTTCCTCAGCCCAAGACCTCCCCCCTTATTTTTCTTCTCCTTCAATGTTCTCACCCACAATTTCTCCCTAGTCTGAGCTCCCAAACCTTCCTCTACAGCCAAAAAGTTCCCCACTTCTCCTCCTTACTGTTCTCATCCTCCATTCCTCCCTTATCATCCAGAGAGACCCTAATTTCTCCCCTCAGCATTCCGAACCCTCCTCCATTCTCTCTGTTCTTGTCCCGGGATCATGCCATCCCTAACTGTCACCATTCTGATCCCCTACTGCTCCTCGTCCTCTATATGGGGCCTCCTATTCCTCCCTTTCAGCATTCCAAAGCCTCTATTTCTCCTGTCATCAGCCTGAGGGCCCCTCATTTCTCCCTCTCAGAGTTCTGAACCCCCATTTCTCTCTCAACTTCAGATGCCCCGATGTCTCCCTTTAGCGTTCTGATCTCCACCATTCCTCTCCGTCCTCGTCCCAGGATCCCGACACTCCTACCTGTCAGAGTTCAGAGCTGCATTCCTTCCCGTCCTCAGCCTAAATCCCCCCATTTCTCCTCGTCAGTATTCCGACGCCGCCATTCCTCCCCCTTATCGGCCTGAGGGCCCTTCATTCCTCCCCGTCAGCGTTCTGAGCCACAATTCCTTCCCATCCTCCGCCTGAGCGCTCTCCACGTCCAGCCCCAAGGCTGTCTCACCAGTTTGGCACCAGGCCGGTATCTTCCGCCACTCTAGGCCCGTGGACCCATGGCGAGGGTCCCTCCTGCACCTCCCGCCTCGCCCTCCTCCCCTTCCTCCTCCTCCGCGGCCGCCTCCTCTGAAGCGGTAGCTGTCGCCTCCGCGGCTGTTCGTTGCTCCCGGAACCGGAAGTCCGCTGCCTGCCTCTCGGGCTCCGCCTCTGGCTAAGCACCTGCGCACTATTGCCTCGATGTCGCGTGCCCTTAATAGGGAGGCTCCCGCGCCTACGGGCCGGCGCTCCGCAGCGGTGCGCGCGCCCCCCTGCCGAGAGCCAGTTGCATCTGCGTGCTGACGTTCAACGACAGCTAACCCCTTCGAGGGACTGGCAGTTGCGGCTCTCCTCGCTGCCCATCTAGCTGGCGCATGCGCTTTCCAGCCTCAACCTGAAGGGAAGCGGTCGGGGAGGGCTTGCGCCTGCGCCCTCCCTTCCCTCCCGCGGTCTCCACAGCCGATACCGAACGCGGCAAGGAAGCTGCTTCGCGCCTGCGCACTCCCTGGCCCTGCCGGCGCTCTCCTCTCCCACCTCTCGCTGGGGTCTATCCTGTGTTCGTGGGTCCCTCCGAACATCAACCCCAGGGGGGGTCGTGTCCCGCTCCCTCCTCCCCGCCGAACAGCTGTGGGAGCGCGCGGGGCGGGGAAAGGGGCGGTGCCACACCGCAGGTAAACTGAGGCACGCGGGAGGGCGCGCCCCTGCAGGAGGCGGATCCCCAACGTGGGGCTTGTGGGGAAAAGGCGGGGCCTGGCGTCCACAGCGGACGACAGCTCTGGGTGGGAGACAGGAGCATGCATGGGCGGTGTCACCACACTGAAGGCGCGCTGCGTAGACCCTCTGCCCGTGGGAGGCTGGGAATGTGGGTCCCTGGGCTCTCGCGGGGTGCAGGCGCCCCCCATCTTATCCAGAAGTCTGGAACAGTTGCAACCGCAGCAATGTGGAGACAGCTTCCTTGGTTTCTTCAAAATTTTATTAACAAAACCCAGGGAGAGGAGGCAAGGATGAGTGGACTCCGCAGCCCCACCAGGCACTGAACATGTCGACGGGGACAGTCCCTCTGATAAAGGCAGATGGGCGGTCAACCGGTGGATGGGCACAGGGAGAACCGGAGAAACAGATGAGTGGAGGAACGGACACACGGGCACCGGGCGGCTCCCCCATCTGGAATGCAGGGTGTAAGGGGTCCGGGCCAGGAGGCTCAGCGGTCGGCACTGGAGCGCAGGTCGGTAGTGAGGGGATCGTGCTGGATCGTCTGGTGCAGCATCAGGGCCAGCAATCCCGCGCGGTTTGTCATGGCTGTGCGCACATTGCGCTCCTGCTCAAACAGCTCGTCCAGCTTGTACCACTGCCAAGGGAGCGGCAGGAGTCCTAAGCAGGAACACCTGCAGCCCCGCCTGCCCCGGCCACGTCCGACATGGAAACCTACCACATGCAGCACCAAAACCGCACAGAAACCTACCACACGCACGCGCTCCAAGTCCACTTCCGCACGCCGCAGCTTCTCCCAGCAGTAATGGCGATTGCACTGGCGCTTGGGCAGGCGGCAGAAGTCACCCGTGAGCTCAAAGACATCACGTACAAGGGGGCACCCGCATACCTCGTCAGCTGGCACCTGCAAGGAGGCCAGGTTGGGGGGATGAATAGCGGTGATAAGGGAGAATAGGAATGGGGGCTCAAGGAGGGAGAAGGAAAAGAATGGAGGGTTCAGGGAACGGTGAGGAGGCATGGAAAAGGAGGAATGGAGGGTGAAGCAGCAGGGAAGCTGAGAGGAAAAAGTGAAGGAAAAGTGAGGTGAGGAAGGAAGGGATGAATGTGGGACAGCGAGGCAGGGAGGAGGGGCAAAATGGGAGGAGCTGAGGGAAAACCTTACTTTGGGGTCCCGTGAGTGCTCGGGGCACAGCACCTGGAGCCGCTTACAGTATGTTTTGCTCTGAGGATTATACACATCACAGAAGAGTCGTGTGGCCCTGGGGATTTGGAGTAGAGAGGGCAGTAGAGGGAGGGAAGGGAGGTCCATCTGTCCTGGCTGGTTGCCCGTATCCTGCCCCAGCTCCACACACATCCCACTTCTGACCCCCGCCTTAACCCCCCACCTCTCACTGCGTGGCACCCTCACTTACCCTTCAATGCGTGTGGGGTACATGGACCCAAAGGACGTCTGGCTCTCATACTGGAGGGATGAGCACAAATGGAGGGAACTGTGGATGTGCGCTGCATGCCCTCCCAAGACACCACCCAGACAACAAATCTGTCCCCCACTGGCCCACTGATGTTCCCACATGGTCCGCCCCCTCAGTCTGACACCCCAACCTTGGCGTAGCAGCGCTCCATGTGGCGCAAGGCAACACGTGGGTTGATGGGGTGCCCACAGGAAACACAGAAGATCTGCAGGTCTGTGTCATCACTGTCACCCTCGTTGCTCTGCATGGAATGGAAGGAACAATAAGGCTGGGAAGGACAAAGTACAGGCCCTGCTCTGCTGCGCCCCTGCTTGCTCACCTCCTCATCCTCGCGCACAGCCTGCTGCTTGGCACGTAGAATGATGGCCTCAAGCTCATGGAATCGGCGTTCCATTTCCTGAAGGCGAGTGCGGGCACTCTGCTGCTCTCGGCGAATGCGTTCGAGCAGCTTCTTGCCGTGCTCTTCAGCAATGCAAGGGCTCTGCTGCCACTGCTGGATGCGCTGGGGGAGGATCTCGTAGATGCGGCTGCAGGGAAGGTAGCAAGCAACAGAATGAGTGAGGTGATCAGTAAGTGAGAATGGCAAAATAGACGCAAATGGCAAAAGGAGAAGTAAATAGGTGACTGGCGGAATGGTGGCTGGATGGACACACGGGCAGGTGGGTGGGTAGGTGGATGGGTGAGTGGGTAGTGGCTGTTTGGTGACTGGTGGATAGCTGATTGACTGGTAGACATACAGAAGGCTGTGGTCAGGCCCTACCATGCACTTCCTGACTCCCTTGAACCTCTCAGGAATGACTCACTTGGCTGCCAGCTTCATGCCACAGTCATCTGAGCAATACTTGGAGCTGGGCTGGGCGGGGCGCACACAGCCGGGCCCCAGGCACTGGGGCAGTGACGCAGGGTCCTTGGCATCAGCCCTCTCTGGGTGTTTCCATTTATCCTTGTGCTTCTGCTTCTGCCGATGCCGCTTGTATCGCTCCTCCTTCTGTTGAGCAAGACAAGTCAGGTCAGGGTGGAGTCAAAGTCAGCCCCAGACCCCAGACCCTTGCTCCATTCTAGCCCTTTCTGGCTCTTGCCCCATTCAGCCTCTGACCTCTGCCTCTCCCTCAACCCCACCCTCTGCCTTTCCACATCCACTTTACCCTCTCCATCACCTTCTTCTCAGACTTCTTCTCCCGACGCTTCACATGCTTCACTTTCACTGCCCTCTTCCGCAGCGCGGGGTCCAGGAATGGGGACTCTTCTGTGTCGCTCATCCAGGGCTGCAAGCAGGGCATGCACTGACCCACCTGCCCCGCTCGTGACAACCCCACCACCTACTCATGTCCCATATCAGCCTTCCATACCCTCTGTCTCCTCATTAGGGATACTCTCTGCTTCTGTAACCTCCACCCTTCCACCAGTGGATGCTCCTGTCTGCTCACCAGGCCATGGTCATCAAAGGCCCCTGCACAGAAGTCCTGATACAGGTCAGGATCCAGAGGTAGGTCCTCATCTGAGAGTGGCTCAGGTGTGGCTGTAGCCTCAGGAGGCTCCTTGACTGTTGATGACGCCACTGCCCCCTCATCTTCACGGATGCGCCCTAACTTCTGTGATGGCTGTGGCTGCTGTTGGGTGGGCAGTGGCCGGCGGGGCCTTGGCAGGGACTCTGAGGGCGTCACTGGTGAGAGCTGCAGGGCAGAATCTCAGGACTGGCCCTGACCGCCCTGCCCGCATGCCCCACCCCACCCTGGGGGGCTGGACTCACCGAGGAAGGGAAGTACTTGTACGATTCCTGTGCCGGCAGGAGGAAGGCCCAGGTCAGCCCCAGGTGGATGGAGGGCGGCCTTGCCCTAGCCCTACCCACCTGGCCTGGCCTTACCTCCCCAGACACACCTCCCCGCTACCCCTCATTGCCAGGAATGCTCAGCCCTGCCTGATCTGTACCAACATGCATGACCACCTGAAAACACCTGGCCCCACTCTGTCTACCCAGGGTTGGTGGGGGTGTTCTGCCAGCCCAGCATACCAGGTCATGCCCCATTCATCTGGACATGACAGGCCCCTTCCCACCTGTCAGGATACAGTCAGGCCCAATCCCACCTGGTTTATCCATGCCTAGACTTAACTAACCATGCATGGACCCACCAGCTCTCCCACACCTGACCCTACCCAGCTCTGTCCATGCTCACCCGGGCCCGCAGCTGGCACTGGCGCAGCCGGCACTTCTGCCGGATCTTGTTGGGGCCCCCGAACTTCTTCATGTCCCGACAGAAATCACAGTGACCACAGTCCTCAGTGCGCCGACATGCCTCACACTCACCACACATGCGGGCTGACCGTTTGATCTGCTGCTGCTGCTGCTGGTGATGCTGCAGGAGGGGGCCCAGAACAGAAATCATGGACCCAGGCAGGGCTGAAACGGAACCACTTTACACATCCATTCACTTTATGCAGCCACTCACCTGGCTGGGTGTGGCCACCAAGGGCTGCGGAGAGGATTTGTGGGGCGAAGCAGAGCCCCGAGCAAGCATGGCCCCAACCCCTGTCCCTGACCCTGCCCGGCGCTGCAGGTCTGGATCAGGGACAGGCCTCTTGCGCCCTCCACCCTCATCCCGGGGCTCACTGCTGTCCCGCTCATTGCCATCCCGCTCCCGTGACTTCTTGTGCCGATAGCGAATCTCTAGCTTGGGGTCTTTCTCTGTGGGGCAGAGAGTAGGGCCAAAGTGAGTGAGCACTGGATGGCTTGAATGGTCCCAAAACCTCTTTCTTCCTCTTCGCTCCCTTACTGACCCACCCACCTACTCTGCACCCCTGTCCAGGGCAGAGCTGCCTCTTCCCGTGGGATCTTCTATTACTCACAATGGAGCCCCATTCCAGCTCACCACAGACGTGTATCACTAATCCCCATAACCCCCCCTTGTGGCTCCTCCTCCTCCCTTGAAGCCCCACCTGCCTTCCCTGTCCATCCATGGCCCTCACCTCTGCACTCCCGACAGTACCACTCCCGGATGGCCTTGGCCATCTTCTCAGTGATCCGGATGCAGTCCCCATGGAACCACTCATTGCAGTTGTCACACCCGCTGCAGAGGATGGGGCAGGCGATGGAGATGTGAGGGGCGCGGCCCATCGGCCTCACCCCACCCTGCCAGTGTCAGCCCCGCCCATCTCTCCCGCGCTCACATCATGAAGCAGTTGATGTCCGGTTTGCGGCAGATGCAGTAGATGGGCGCATTCTCCCCATTCTCGGACTTGCTGTCCTCCCCGGCATCTGGAGGCTCTGGGTCTGAACCATCTCCCTCCTGCAGGACACCCCCATTACGGATCCTTAAGCAGCCCCCACCGTGGCGGCTCATCCCCCCATTACAACTCCACCGTGGTCAGCAGGGATCCCCACTCTGCCTGCAGATTTCACATCGGGGCCCCCAAAAAACCTCTCCATCACAGTCCCCACTGACCCCCATCCCTTCCTCTGACATCCTATTACTCTGCTCCATACTTCCCATCACGCACCCACCGACACCCGCTCCCTGCGTCCACACTCGCTAATGGGTCATGGCGACCCTCCATCGTGGCGCCTCACAGACCCCGCGTAACTCACTGCGGACTTCCCATCGCGGTTCTCCACGCACCCCTCCCTGTTTATCTCATAGACCCACCTGGCACCCGCACCCACCCCCAGTCGCGGCTGTCCACGGATACCCGGACACGGACTCCTCGTCACGGCTCACTACAGACCACTCAATGTGACTCCTTACAACCCGCTTATCCCTCTGCCCTAAGAACCCCCGATCATGGTTTCCCACGGAACTGCCACACGGAGTCCCCACTAAACTTCTATTAAGGAGCCCCCCACCGTGGCTCACCATAGAACTCCCAGATGGTTCATCATTCTGCCCATAGACTCCCGCCGTTCAGTCCACAGACTCCGGTTATGGCTCACCACAGACCCCTGAGTCGGCCGACAGACCCCACTGTTGCCAACCGACCGACCTCCACCGCCGAACCCCTCCCTGGACCCGCTACTTACCATATCTCCGCTCCCGGCGCACTCCCTCACGACCCCCGCCAGCGACCCGCGAACCTGCACAGACCACTCGGCGGCGTCCCAGGCGGTTGCAAAGGCGCCCACAACTACTTCCGCTTCTAGTCACGCCTCCCAGGCAGCGTACTCCTATTGCGCAGGCCCCATGCGTCGTCTCCGCTGCAAACCAGTAGGTGGCCGGCCTAGAGCCCCCAAGACCCCTCAGGCGCCGCCATCTTGCTTATCGTATCCGTATGGTGGCCGAATCCATATGTTCGCCGGGAACATGGCCGCGCTCTAATGTGGCTTTCCCGAGGGCGCCGCCACCTTGTCAGTAGAGTCCGTACGGCGGCTGCTTGTACGGCCTCGACGTACAGGCAACATGGCTGCACCTACTGCGTGACTTCCTCATAGATGCCGTCATCTTGGAATCCGATTCCGTACGTGGGTCGAATTCCGTACGTTCCTAGGCGACATATGACGGCGACCTAATTGCGGATTCTTCACGGGCGCCGCCATCTTGGTGGTTGATTCCGTACATTGCCCGTTTGTCAGGCAGAGAGGTTCACAGGTAAAGTGACCGCTTCCGAAGCACGACCTGGATCAAGTTGTATTCATTCCTCCATTCAGTCTCTTTCCCCTTCCACATGTATTAATGGGGCGTCGGCAGGCTGTGTGCCTTGCGGGGCGGAGGAAACCAGTTCCTCTGTCGTCTCCGACTTCACCTGCCACCACTCTTTCCGGCTTTTACTCCTCCCACTTGTCATTCTTCTGCCAGGCCTGGCACGGTTCGGCTTCTATTTATTTTATTTTTATTTAAAAACAATTCTTAAACTAATATCAAATCTTATTTTAGTTCTATAAGCTGCACAATAAGCCTAAACACAGTTTACTTATCCATTTCTTTATTGTTTAGCATTTAGAACATTTTCAAATATTATTCTAAATAAAGTTGCAACGAACATTCTTAAACATAGATCTGTATGCTCATCCCTGATTATTTCTTGTGAAATGTGATATACAAATTTACAAATATACAAATGTGATATACCAGGTGTAACTCTGGTTAACAGCTGTAAGATGGAGCCTGGAAGCCAGGCTTTATTTATTTATTTATTTATTTATTTATTTATTTTATTTATTATTTATTATGTATTTATTTATTTATTTTTATTTATTTACTTATTTTTTGAGACGGAGTTTCACTCTTGTTGCCCAGGCTGGAGTGCAATGGCGCGATCTCAGCTCACTGCAACCTCCGCCTCCCGGGTTCAAGCGATTATCCTGCCTCAGCCTTCCGAGTAGCTGGGATTACAAGCATGCACCACCATGCCCGTCTGATTTTTTTTGTATGTTTAGTAGAGATGGGGTTTCACCGTGTTGGCCAGGATGGTCTGGATCTCCCGACCTCAGGTGATCCGCCCGCCTCGGCCTCCCAAAGTGCCGGGATTACAGGCGTGAACCACCGCGTGCCTGGCCCGCCTGGAAGCCATTCTATGGACTCCCTGCAAACTTGCAAAAAGGAAAACAAACAAAACAAAATTAAAACACAACAGGAACTTGCCTCGAACCTTTGAATTGGTCCAAACTGCAATGACCACACAGTCCTGGAAACCAGCTATATTTCACTAGTGCTGCGTCTCCTGAACAACAACCAATGAACTATGGACTGATGCCAGCCAGCCGCCTCCACCAATAATAATTTCTTTAAAAGAACTTGTGTAATCACCCTTAGCTTCCTTTTTCTTTTTCTTAAAAACTCCTTCTCCCCTTCCTATCTTTGGAGTACAATTTGACTTCGAGCTGAATCTGTGTCTCCTGAATTGCAGTTCCTAATGCCCCAATAAACTCCTGCATTGCAGCTTGGTCTCTTGCCTCTTCTTAGTTGACTCTCCTTAGAGATAAAATTCTAAAAGTAGAATTACTTTGTAATTGGCTATAAATATTGTAAGACATGTTCAAATTTATAGGAGGTCATTAGTTTGGACAGAGCTCCTGCTCTAGGCCCCACCAAAATGGAGTCACTCACGCTGAAGTTCCATGCCACCAAGCCAAAACTAAATTGTTCATCTGACCTTCCAAGGAGAAAGAGACAGGATAATAGCCAAATCCCCATACAAGCCACTTTTAGCTTGAAAGTCCCCTTTGCTTTAACCTTTATAAAAAAGCAACCTGAAGCAATCTGATGTTAACCAATCAGCTTTAAAAAAAAAATTGTTCTTTTTCCTTGCTCCAACCTTACAAAATTCACTGCTCTGCTATTTCCCAGGAAAAGCTCTCGTTCTATTTTGTATAATGGGATCTGCCCCAATTCATGAATTGCAAGTAAAAGCCATTACATCTGTAACTAAATTTGTTGTAATTTTGTCTTTCAATGGTTGATACATATATTTCTACCAGCAGTGTATGAAGGTTCCTATATCAGAGCCTTATTAGGTTATTAGATTAGTGCGAACTTTTGTTGTTGTTGTTGAGACGGAGTCTCACTCTGTCACCTAGGCTGGAGTGGAGCGGGCAATCTCGGCTCACTGCAACCTCCGCCTCCTGGGTTCAAACAGTTCTCCTGCCTCAGCCTCCCGAGTAGCTGGGATTAGAGGCCCGTGCCACCACACCCAGCTAATTTTTGTATTTTTAGTAGAGATGGAGTTTCACCATGTTGGCCAGTCTGGTCTCTAACTCCTGACTTCAAGAGATCCACCCCCACCTTCGGCTTCCCAAAGTGCTGAGATTACAGGCGTGAGCCCCTGCGCCCGGCCAGTGCAAACTTGTAAATTCATCACCCTTGTCAGTAAAAAACTGTCAGCATTCACAGCCATTTTATAAATACTACACATTACCACAGCAATATAGTGCAAAAATCAGAAACCACATAAAATACATATTTAAAGGAATGAGATAAAAATAAATATAAACATCTCTCATATTTTCTCAAATCCCCAGCACCATCTGAAATGCTGCCCTTGAGGAGCTCCCAGTTTACACTATTGGTGCTCACTTTGATCTGTGTGCAGTCTGGTATGGACATGGTGAAGCAAACAAAGATTAGTATTTTGTCAAATAGTAAATTTTTCATAAGTCTAGCTTGATGATGATGGTAATAGTCATAATTTTAAAAATCTTCTATTTGGTTAATGGTTGATAGTTCGCAAGATACTTTCGCACATGATAGTTTATCTGATCCTAATTGCCTTATACGGTGAATGGAGCAGGAGCCTTATTGTCCCCACTCTGCAGTGAAAGCAATTGAGACTCAGGGAGCCTAAGTCCCTTGCCAGGTCACACAGCCAGTAATAATGGATCTGATATTAATAGTAAAATCTTCCTACTGTGAGTGTTGGGCTGTGGGCTGGAATCAGGGAATAGACTCAGGGAAGCCCCAGGACGAGAGAAGCTAGATAAAAAAGTTCATGAGGCAAGCACAGAATGGAGCAGATTCTGAAAGCTAAGGGTCACAGTGGACCTGAGTTCAGGAAATGGATCAGAAGTCCAGGGGATCAGACACCAGGAATCAGGATTAGGTTCTTAGGCAGGAGAACAAACAACACAGAATGAGAAACTAAGTACAGGATCTCAGCACAAGGTGGGGATCACAGGAAAGGGAAAGGAGAGCTCAACTCTACCAAAGATTCCTGGGAGGGGGACGGAAGTCTTCCAGACACTTCTTGCAAACAGCAAGGATGACATAAATATCCGAAATTCAATGACAAAACCATGCTTAGCACTTCAATTCTAATTTGCCAGCAAGCACAGACAAAATCAGTACTGGAATCATTCGCTGAGGAATATACACAGTCTTGCTTTCTGAAGTTTTAGTTACCCATGATCAACCATGGTCTGAAAATATTAAGTAAAGAATTCAAGAGGGCTGGGCACAGAGATTCATGCCTGTAATCCCAGCACTTTGGGAGGCCGAGGAGGGAGGGTTCCTTGAGCCCAGGAGTTTGAAACCAACCTGGGCAACATAGCAAGACCTCGTTTCTACAAATTATAAACACTTAGGCCGGGTGCAGTGGCTCACGCCTGTAATCCCAGCACTTTGGGAGGCTGAGGCGGGCAGATCACGAGGTCAGGAGATTGAGACCATCCTGGCTAACACGGTGAAACCCCGTCCCTACTAAAAAATACAAAAAAGTAGCCAGGCGTGGTGGCAGGTGCCTGTAGTCCCAGCTACTCAGGAGGCTGAGGCAGGAGAATGGCATGAACCCAGGAGGCGGAGCTTGCAGTGAGCCGAGATCACTCCAGCCTGGGTGACAGAGTGAGACTCTGTCTCAAAAAAAAAAAAAAAAAAAAAAAATTAGCCGGGCATGGTGGCACGTGCCTGTGGTCCCAGCTATGCAGGAGGCTGAGGCAGGAGGATTGCTTGAGCTCGGGCTGTCCAGACTGCAGTGAGCCATGACTGCATCACTGAACTCCAGTCCAGATGACAGAGCAAGATCCTGTCTCAAAAAAGAAAAAAAAAGAAAGAAAATTCCAGAAATAAACAATTCATAAGTTTTAATTACCATGCCATTCTGAGTATTGTGATGAAATCTCACACCGTGCCATTCCATCCCACCTGGGATGTAAATTATCCCTTTGCCCAGCATATCCACCTGTTCAGTTTAGTTGAATTCTGTTTTTTGGACCAGTCTGAAAATCATTCTATTATAATGACTATTAAATTCATTTACTGACATTGATATAATATTCAAATGAACTCAAAATTGGCTAAAAAAAAATCAGGGCTTAAGGTATCTACAGATGCCTAGACTCAGTGTGGATTAGGTAGGGCAGGGCTGGGGTGGGGAGAGAGCAGAGGGGTGTAGCAGAGGGCTAGGTCCCATTGAGTTAGAACTGGGAAGTGACTAAGCCATATCACAATGGTCTAAAACAGTATGAAAAACAGACTGTGGCCCTCTAATCTTTCTGGCATTTTGTGATTGCGGGAGGCAGGGACTGGGTCAAGACTGGACCTTGGGCAAGAATCAAAGCAGGTACTCACTCTCCAAATGGACACAGGGGCTGAGAGCAGGAACCAAGCCTAGAAGTCATTCAAGTGCAGGTGAATTGAATAAGGAGCAGGGAGGAGCCAGGATGGGTGACGGTGGTACTGACAACCACTTTGGCCCAGGGGAGAGTGGACTTGAGAATCAGCAAAAACAGCAGCCAGTGGGAGGGATATATTTAGAGCCCAGGCCATTCTATGCAGCATCCCTAGTCTGGAAAGAACTCAGACTCTGAATGCAAAGGAACTATTGTAGGTCTCTCATGAGGTTAATGTCCATTCAGGCACAAATTCAGGCAGAATTTGCTGAAACATGCCAGAAAAATAAGACCAAGGGATTCAATATCTATCTTATGTTTTCAATGACACTGAAATATTCTGTGGCTATTGCAATATCTTAAGTCATAGTTTTTAGAGGTATATTTTACAGTTCATGCCTTCAAGAACAAAGTGTTACAGCTTGAGTTTGATTCTAGGCTCTACTAATACTAGCTGCTTTACATTGCAGAGTGTAGTTAATCTTTCTGAGAACTTTTTCTCATCTATAAAAATGGGCAAAATTAACATCCTCCTAGAAAGACATCTGAGAGAATAATATGAATTAGGTCCAGAATGGGAACTCTCCAAATAGTGCCATGCGGTAAAAGATTAACTCAGCAGGCCTTGGTTGTTCAAACCTTCACATGAAAAAAAAATCTGATATTTGACTGGCTCTTGGGAGATAACCTTAAAGTGCTCAGAATTACTTGCCTAATAAGAATGTTCAGCTGGGCACAGTGGCTCACATCTGTAATCCCAGCACTTTGGTAGGCCAAGGTGGGTGGATCACCTGAGGTCAGGAGTTCAAGACCAGCCTGGCCAAGATGGGTAAACCCTGTCTCTACTAAAAATACAAAAATTAGCCAGGTGTGGTGGCGGGTGCCTGTAATCCCACTTACTCAGGAGGTTGAGGCAGGAGAATTGCTTGAACTCAGGAGGTGGAGGCTGCAGTGAGCCCAGATCACGCCATTGCACTCCAGCCTGGATGACAGAGCAAGACTCTGTCTCAAAAAGAAAAAAAGAATGTTTATATTTACCTAGGATCTTGGTCCACACCAGATAGTTTATGATAGCAATGTGATTTGTGGTGGGGACCTTGGGCCACAGGGTATCAATATGAACTCTGGAGAGGCCGGAGACTGAGTAACCAAGGTCAGCAATGGCACCCTCCATACTCATGTAACCAATCCCCTAATAAAAACCCTGGACACCAAAGCTTGGATGAGCTTCCCTGGTTTGCAATACTTCATTCATGTTATCACAACACTGTTTCTGGGATAATTAAGTGCTGTTTATATGACTCCTCTAGGAGAGGAGAACTGGAAGCATGGTCTTTCCTGTACTATAGCCTATGAGCCTTTTTGCTCATTCAATCTGTATTCTTTTGCTGTAACAAACTAATTGGGAGCTTAGCAGTGTTTTTGTATTCTGTGTGTTCTTCTAGTGAGTCATTGAACCTGAGGATGGTCTTAGGACACCTGACACAAATATCCTTTTTCCTCATATATTATACTTTCAAGCTGATGTCTCTGAAATGTTTAAAGACTGCCAAATGTCATGAACCAGTCATTTAATATCATTGATGAGGAGGACTTGTTTAGTAGCTTTAATTCTAATCTGCTCCCTCCCTACTACAGCTTCCCCGTCCCTAACAGCCACATTTCTTTTTTTTTTTCTAGATAGAGTCTCACTTTTGTCACCCAGGCTGGAGTGCAGTGATGCAATCTCAGCTCACTACAACCTCCGCCTCCCAGGTTCAAGTGATTCTCCTGCCTCAGCCTCCTGAGTAGCTGGGATTAGAGGTGCCCACCACCACACCCAGCTAATTTGTATATTTTTAGTGGAGATGGGGTTTCACCATGTTGGCCAGGCTAGTCTCGAACTCCTGACCTCAGGTGATCTGTCCACCTTAGCCTCCCAAAGTGCTGGCATTACAGGTGTGAGCCACCGCACCTGGCCCACATTTCTTATCACACTCAGGTTCCTAGAGAGGAACAAGTGCACCAGTTTTCTAATCTGACTTCTTCCTTTCCCACTTACGCCCTCTGAAAAAACCAAAAAGAATTAAATAGGCTTGCTTCTCTGGTTTGGTGGTAGATTCTTCTACTTTTTATTCCTACCCAACTCCTACGAACCAATTTCTATCCTGAATAGGTCAGTTTCTATCCATCGCAAAGCTCATCTGTAAATATCACCTTGAATTTTATAGCCTGCAGAAGCTTCCAGTTTGTGTTTTTTAGCCCCAGATCATGATGTCCTTGGTCCTACAGAAGACAGAGCAAATCTGAGGTTTGTCATACACAAAATGGAGCATTATAAAACCCTTTGGTACTGGTCTGTGTTCATGATAATTTTTTTTCTTGATTATCCCTGTGTTCTCTTCCAAAAGTTGCCGTTACAGACACCAGAACACTCCTGTAATTTTGTTAATCTGCAATGGTTTCATATATGAGCAAGTTGTTTCCTCAATGAAATTATAAACTCCCTGAAGGTAAGAACTAAGCATCTCTTGAAGAGTAAACCACACAAGGTGAATTGAATCCACAGTTGTGTTTCCTGCAGTGCTGTGAACACAGAATTGGTTTCATTACCATCTCTGTAATTGTCTATGTGCAAAGGGGGTTTTTAATGTGGCTTCTCGGGGTTGGTTTGAAGGAACAACAGAATAGAGGTGCTTGACCAACAGTTTAAGTTGCCTTCGTCTGGAGTACTGTGGAAGGCCCATCAATAATCTGCAGCACGCAGCATTCCCCAGGCCTCCTTCACTGTTTCTGTCCTTGAAGGTACCTGCTGTTCCCATTTCCAAGCCTGCAGGACCAACTCTACACAGCAAGTTCTCACAATTCAATTACAATCAAATCAAGCAGGCTCAGGAAAATCTCAAGAGTCACTTAGAGCAGCAGGAACCCAGGAACACATGGCTGGTTAACCACCTATTCAGGCACTGTCTCCTGCCTGGGCCAATCCCCTTTTCCATGTCACACACTACACATAGCAAGGGGACAACTATCCTGGGAGTCTAGGGGAGAGTAAAAGTGTTCACGATCCCAATGATAATTCTCCAGGTATGGAATTTGTATATTTTAAATCTGGCCTATGAGAGATGTGGGGTGGGGGAATTAGGGGCCCTCATTAGCTTTCCTCATCTTTCAAATCCTATCACACCCCTTTCCTTAAAAAAAAGGGGTTCCTTCTTTCAAAACCCACTTTTTTCTATTAACCAATCTTTATGCATTTAAATAAATCTTTCCGAACGCTAGTGAAAGGCATCGAGTATTTTTCTAAAAACAGCTTTATTCAGATATAATCCAAATACTATGCAATTTACCCATTAAAAGTTTACATTTCAATGGTTTTAGTATAATCACAGACTTGTGTATTTACTGCCCTGATCATCTTTTTCCTTTAATTAATTTTTTTTATAGAGATGGGGTCTCGCTATGTTGCCTAGGCTGATCTTGATCTCCTTGGCTCGAGCAATCCTCCTGCCTCAGCCTTCAAAAGTGCTGGGATTACAGGCCTGAGCCATGCACCTGGCCTCCCAGTCATTTTTTAGAACTCTTTCACTACCTCCAAAAGAAACTGCACCATTTAGATACCACTCCCCAAGCCCCTCCCCATAGGCAACCACTAATCTTTCTATCTCTGTATATTTGCCTATTCTGGATATTTCATATCAATAGAATCATATTATATGTGGTTTTCTGTGACTGACTTCTTTCACTTAGCATGTTTTTAAGGTTCATTCACATTGTAGCATGTATTGGTACCATTTCTTACTATGGCCAAACAATATTCCATTGTATGAACATAGCATGTTTTGTTTATTCATACATCAGCTGATAGACATTTAGGTTGTTTCCACATAATGACTGTTATGGATTTTGCAGCTATGAACATTCATATACAAGTTCTTGGTGCACACATTTTCATTTCTCTTAAGTATACAACTAGGGGTGGAATTGCTGGGTCATATGGTATGTTTTACTGACTGAAGAAACTGCCAGACTGTTTTCCAAAATGGTTGCACCATTTTACATTCCTGCCAGCAAGTTATGAAAGTTGTAATTTCTTCACATCCTTTCCAATACTTGTAATCTGTCTTCTGGATTACGGTCAAGCTAGTAGGTGGGAAGTGGTATCTTACTGTCGTTTTGATTTGCATTTCCCTGATGGCTAATGATGTTCGGCATCTTTTCATGTGTTTATTGGCCATTATATATCTTCTTTGGAGAACTATCTAACCAAATACTTTGCCTATTTTTTTCATTGTGTTATTTGTTCTTATTATTCAGTTGTAATAGTTTTACAAAATTCTGTATACATGTCCTTTATCAGATATATGATTGCAAATATTTTCTCCCATTCTCTGGGTTGTCTTCACTTTCTTGATGGTGTTCTTTGAAGTGCAAATTTTAAATTTCGATGATTCCATTTATATATGCCTGCTGAGGTGGGAGGATTGCTTGAGTCTGGGAGGTTGAGGCTGCAATGAGGTGTGACTTCACCCTGCACTCCAGCCCCAGGCAAGAGCAAGACCCTGTATCAAAAAAGAAAAAGAAAGAAAGAAAAGAGAGAAAGAAAGAAAGAAAGAAAGAAAGAAAGAAAGAAAGAAAGAAAGAAAGAAGGAAGGAAAGGAAGGAAGGAAGGAAGGAGGAGAAAGAAAGAAACAAAGAAAGAAAGAAAGAAGGGAGGGAGGGAGAGAAGGAAGGAACGAAGGAAAGAAGGAAGGAAGGAAGGAAGGAAGAAAGGAAGGGAGGGAGGGAGGGAGAGAAAAATCAAATCAATTGACCATAATATGAGGGTTCATTTCTGGACTTTCAATTCTATTCTATTGATTTATATGTCTATCCTTATGCCAGTACTGAGTATCTGTATGTCTTGATTACTGTGGCTTTATAGAATTTTGAAACTGGGAAATGTGAGTCCTCCAACTTTGTTCTTTTTCAATATTATTTTGGCTATTTTGGGTCCCTTAAATTTTCATGTAAATTTGAGGATCGGCTTGTCTAATTTTGCAAAAAAAGTCAGCTTGGAGACAGGAGTTGCGTTGAATGCGTAGAACAATTTCAGGAGTATTGCCACCTTAATAATATTAAGTCTGACTTAGTAACATGGGACGTCACCCTTTCCTCTTAAAGTGAGCCCTCACTGCCAGTCCAGTAGGGCTGGGCTGGTTGGGCCTGGGAGTGGGGGCACCTGGACAAGTCTCTAGGGTCTTGGGCCCAGGTCACTAACTCCCTTCCTCCCCAAGCCTCCTTCTCCACACCCACCCCCAACGCTCCACGACCCCCAAGAGGGAGTACCAGACCCTTCACCTTGCCACACCCTGCAAAGCCAAAATCCTGACATAGTCAGGATCCCACAATCGCAGGGACTGCAGAGGCTTTAGGGATACTGCATTCTGGTTGTCACGGGCTATCCTCGTATTAGGGCGGGTGGCTAGGGGTGCGTTTGCGCCCGGCCGGAAGTGAGGAGAGTCACCATGGGAACCGTGGACGCTGAAACTAGCCACTTCCTCTTGGCACTGAGAAGCTGAATCTGCGCGATCCTCACATCAACCTCGGTCTCTCTGGCTGGATATTTATCGGGTTCTGCCTGAAAGGCCGTCTAACGCCTTTCCTCTTGGAAAAGTCGCAGGTCTTAATAATACAGCTTCAGTTTATACGTTTCTTTGTGCCTTATAATAGTCATAAAGGTCTGGTTAGCTCTCCACTCCGTCGAGGAGCGCTCCAGGAGCTCACAGTTGGGCCTTTCGTAGCACTTAGGGAAAGATCCTTGCTATTTTGCTATTTATTGTACTGGCTTAAAATGGGGGTGGGCAGGCAGGAGCGCCCTTTTCGGAGCGGGCGGGAAAGGGCGGCGACCACGGTTGGCCCCCCGCAGACCCCGCAACTCCTGCTGTGCCCCTCAGCTGCCATTAGAGTCCCCATGGGGTCCCTCCTGCCTGTGTCTCCACAAGAGGGACCCCATGGGAACTCTACTGAGAGCCCTGCATCCTACCAAGGAGCCCCCAGAAGTCGGGCCCTGCGTGGGGTCGGTTGGCCTGGTGGAGTGTGTCCAACCTCTGACCCGCTTTTGGGAGGATCAGAACCCCGCGTCCGGGCGGCCGGCGCGCACCTGGAGCACTAAGGGCCTGGTCGCGGCGCGGGCTGTCCCCGAGTCCGCACCATTCCGGGAAGCCCCACAGCCCTGGGTGGCCCTCGGCGGAGCCCCGCGGCCCTTCACCGTCACAGGGAAAGCTGGATCGGCGGCAGGAAAAGCCCGCGGCCAAGCCGCTCCTGCCCTGGAGGGACTAGACCCTTTGTCTCCACGTCGGGCGTTGGGTGGGGGGGCGGGTGGCGACAGATCGCATGGCTAGGTCCTACAAGCCCACACCTGGGGACAGGCGGGACGAGGAGCACAGCCCGGGGAAGCCACAGGTTGAAAGCAGTGAGAATGTCAGGGGCCTCATGAAACTTGACACAACCTGGAGCACAAGGCTAAGAAACCTGCCACTTGAGCCAACTGGAGGCTGTGGCGCAGCTGAGAGCCAGAGTCACGGGGCTCTTGGGGCAGGCGACCTAAGCCCCTTTCCTCGATTATCTGACTGAGTCTGTAACATCCCAATGGGTATGCTGCACAAATAAAGACCAGGGCATTGCAGTAAAGAAACAATTTAGGCCAGTGGGGTGGCTCATGTCTGTAATCCCAGCACTTAGGGAGCAGAATTGGGAGAATCCCTTGAGCCCAGGAGTTCCAGACCAGCCTGGGCAACATGGTGAAACCCATCTCTACAAAAATATAAAAATTACCTGGGTGTGGTAGTGCGGCCTATAGTCCCAGCTCCCGGAGGACTGAGGCAGGAGGACTGCTCCAGCCCAGGAGATTCAGGCTGCCATGAGCAGTGATTGCACCACTGCACTCCAGCCTGGGCCACAGAGCCAGACCCTGTCTCAAAAAAACAAAGAAAAAAGGAAAAAAAAAATAAAAAGTCTGACATGAGGCCAGTCACACCACATGGGAGATGCCATTTTATTACTCAAAATCAATCTCCCCAGAAATTCAGGGATGGGGTTTTTAAGGATAAATTGGTGGGTAGAGGGTCAGAAAGTGGGAGGTGCTGATTGGTCAGGTGGAAGATGAAATCACAGGGAGTTGAAGCTGTTCTTTTGTGCTGAGTTCATTGGGAGGGTGGTGGCGGAGTGGGGGGCGGGTTACAAGACCAGAAGAGCCAGTTTATCGATCTGGATGGTGTCAACTGGTACATCGGAATGTAGGGTCTGCAAAAATATCTCAAGCAGTGATCTCAGGTTTTGCAACAGTGACTCCTAAACCGTAATTTCTAATCTTGTTGCTAATTTGTTAGACCTGCAAAGGCAGTCTAGTCCCCAGGCAAGAAGGGGGCTTGTTTTGGGAAAGAGCTGTTTTGGCATTTGTTTCAAACCTAAACTATAATCTAAATTCCTCCCAAAGTTAGTTCCACATACACCCAGGAATGAACAAGGACAGCTTGGAGGTTAGAAGCAGGATGAAGTCAGTTAGGTCATATCTCTTTGACTGTCATAATTTTCTCAGTTACGATTCTTGCAAAGGTGGTTTCAAGTCAGCCCCTATCCCTTCTACTCTCTGTGGCCCTTGAGTGCTGAGATAGAAGGAAGATAGCAGGTTTGCAGGTTCACAAGGGGGGAGACCTTCTGCTGGAGGCTGAAGCATGTTTATTGCTATTCTTTCCCAGACACCACTTTTCACACCACAGCTGAATAAAATTTATTGTCACTTTGTGTCAAATTGTCACCCACACCGTGATATTACTTTGTCCCCCTGCTGTGTCCCCTGACTGACCCTTTCTTTAGGTTTAGGAAGATAAAACAAATGTTTCCAACTTCAGAACGCTTATTCTAGGCTTCCAAGTTATGTCTTAGCTTTGCTTTATTTTTTTTAATTTTTAAAACTATTTTTTTAAAAAAAAACTATAATTGTTCCAATTTCTATTGGTCTCAAGCATACCAGGAAATTGTGTGAAAACAAAGAGACAAAAAATAATTTTTGTGTAATTCTTTTGAAATAGTTTGCAGTAGTTTTTAGTGTTTTACTTTGATATCAGCAGTGTTTTTGTTTGGATTAAAAAAATGACCATAAAACCTTTGTTCTTAAACATGTTATTAGATGTAATTCAATATGAATTTATAACATATGTATTTATTTTTGCTTATTTATATAAAAGGGTTTGTTTTTTGAGAAGTAATTTGTAACACTACAAAGAACAACATATGTCAAGGCTTCTGTTTTCATTTGGATAAATATTTTCCTTTAACAAAAATGAGAGAAGAGGGAAGGCAATGATTTTTTTCAATCACTATAGTATTTTAAGATTACTTACAACTCTTCCTTAATAAGGTAACTCAGCACTGCACAAACCCCTGCCTTAGCCTATCAGGAAGAATCTTTGGGCCAGATCTTGGTTTTTTGGGTGTCCAGATCTCCTTTTTGGAACATACTATGTTATTTATAGGAGTGAGCAACGCAAGGACCATGGTAAACCTTTCATGGATTGTGTAAAATAACACAAATAAAAGTTGCCGCCAGGAAGTGCTTTACTTAGTTGCCAAGTAAGACAGCCACTGGCATGTATAGGACTGAAAAGTACAGCAGATCTAGTCACTGACCACCTACTGAGCACCAGCAAGTACTTTGCTAATCGGCTTTAGGTGTGTCCCTTAGTCTGACAGTAGGGACAACGTAGATGGCTCTTGGTGGGACGACAGTTGGACTTGATCTTTTCCTCTTGTCTTGGAGGAAAAATAGGTCCCTATCATCTGTTTTCCTGAACTTCATAAATTGAATTTTTAAAACATTCATTTGTCTTTCCTGTGTCTATATCTCTTAGATCCGCTCTCCCATAATTACTTCTGGAAATGTCAGCTTCCTTATTTACACTGTGACGGCTCTACCAGCCTTTCTATCGCTGTATCTGTGCCCAGGAGACTATCTTTTGGTCCCACAGATACCTCAGGTTCTCCCTTGTTGACATCTTTCCCAGATGTGGACAAAACCTTCCCAACTTGGCCCCAACTCACACTTGATTTTCTGAGCTTTTTGCCAACCCTCCCTACGCATCAGTGTATGAGCTGTGCTTACATTGAAAGTCAAAAATCCCTCTTGTGTGTCTAACACTGCTGCCTTGTATCGAGAAAGATGAAACCACTATCTCATTGTATTCCTCTCTAATTTGGTCTTGAGGTCTGTCTTTGGAGAATGGCCATAAACCATAATACTGCCTTAGTGGGGGTCCAGGGAATTTTTTTTTTTTAGAGGCAGGGTCTCCCTATGTTGCCCAGGCTGGTCTTGAGCTCCTGGGCTCAAGCAGTCCTCCCACCTCGGCCTCCCAAAGTGCTGAGATTACAGACCTGAGGCACTGCACCTGTCGTCTCTGGGGAATTTGGTCATGTACGTTTACAGTGTGCCTTTCACATGCTACTTTTTTATCCAGGTGGATGATCCAATGCCTAAGTGTCTAGCCACTTCCTCTTGGCACTGAGAAGCTGAATCTGCGCGATCCTCAGATCAACCTCGGTCTCTCTGGCTGGATATTTATTGGGTTCTGCCTGAAAGGCCGTCTAACGCCTTTCCTCTTGGAAAAGTCGCAGGTCTTAATACAGCTTCAGTTTATACGTTTCTTTGTGCCTTATAATAGTCATAAAGGTCTGGTTAGATCTCCACTCCCTCCAGGAGCGCTCCAGGAGCTCACGGTTGGGCCTTTCATAGCACGTAGGGAAAGATCCTTGCTATTTTGCTATTTATTGTACTGGCTTAAAATGGGGGTGGGCAGGCAGGAGCGCCCTTTTCGGAGCGGGCGGGAAAGGGCGGCGACCACGGTTGGCCCCCCGCAGACCCCGCAGCTCCTGCTGTGCCCCTCAGCTGCCATTAGAGTCCCCATGGGGTCCCTCCTGCCTGTGTCTCCACAAGAGGGACCCCATGGGGACTCTAATGAGAGCCCTGCATCCTACCAAGGAGCCCCCAGAAGTCGGGCCCTGCGTGTCCAAGTGTCCATCTCACAGGAAACTTATGTTGGCAGATGCTCTTGTGGCTCTTGTCTGACCTGTGTCCAGTTTATTTCTACCAAGATAGCCAATCTAGGAGAGCTCTGACCAAGAGAAAAGTCAGGTTCAAGTGTGCCAGTAGAATGGACAGAGGCAACAAAACCCATGAAATAGCAGAAGCATTTTCTTACAGCACCAAAGATGAGAAGAGTAAAAATGAGGGCCAGTAGGAAGGTTGCAGGTACAATATGCTCAACCGGGGGCCAGACAGAAAGATGAACCCATGGGCCAAGGCCTTTGTTTGGGGTCCAGGGTGTTCTTACCCAAGCAGGTCTCCTTCAGAGAGTTCTAAGTGGTGGGTTTAGAGCAAGCAGGCATGCATCCCATGGGGTCATGCTGTGACTGAGAAGTCACTGTGGCATATCTGTGTAGTCTGTGTGGCATGTGGGGTCAGTGGGGCCAGTTGGGCCAGTTTAGTGGGTTGTATCTAGCTGCCTTGTGGAGAGGTGGTAACCAAGAGCCAGTTGTATAAGGTAGATATGTGGATTAAGAACATTGAGAAACTAGGAATAGGCAGAAAGCTGGAAACTGTGTCCAGGGTGACTAAGCCAGCTTCTGGAATGAGAAAGTTAAACCTACTTTCAAAACAGATGCAGAAGTGACATGATAGGAATTCATTACATCCATGGTCAGAACTAAATGTATTTTATAGTTCATTTATTTTAGTTTACATGAAGTCTACTTATATTAGCATACAAATATTCATAGTTATGTAACAACCACCCCACTCAAGACACAGAACTCTCTTATCATCCTCAGTGATTCTTATGTGCCGCCCCATTTTAGTCAACCTGTCCCTCATCCTTAGCACCTGGAAACCACAGGTCTATTTTCTGTTCTTATAATTTTGCCTTTTCCGAAATATCATATAAAAGGATTTTTTTTTACGTAGGCTCCTTTCACTTGGATGAATGCTTTTGAAACCCATGTTGTTGCTTGTATCAGTAGTTTCTTCATTTTAATAGCGGAGTTGTAGTTCTTTGCATGGATGTACTATATTTTGTTTATCTATTTACCTATTGAAGGACATTTACGTTGTTTCTACATTGTGGTGGTTAGGAATAAAGCTGCTAGAAATATTTGTTTACAATTTTTTTGAGATGGTCTTGCTCTGCTGCCCAGGCTGGAGTGCAGTGGCATAATCATATCTCACTGCTAGAAATATTTGTTTACAATTTTTTTGAGATGGTCTTGCTCTGCTGCCCAGGCTGGAGTGCAGTGGCATAATCATATCTCACTACAGCCTTGACCTCCTGAGCTCAAGCCATCCTCACAGCTCTGCCTCCTGAGTAGCTGCGACTACAGGTGGACGCCACCACACTTGGTGTTTTTTTGGTGAAGATAGGGTCTCACTATTTTGTCCAGACTGATCTCAAACTCCTGGCCACATATGATATGATTTTGCCTATGGATCTAGTGGCTCCGGCACTATTTCACTACTTCAGTTATTTGTTGAAGAAACTGCTTTCTCCATTGAACTACCTTTGTATGTTTGTGAACATATATAAGTGTATTTGTTTACAGATTCTCTACTGTGATCCTCTATTCTAATTTTGTCTAAAATCACACACTCTTGATTACTGTAGCTTTATAAGAAGCCTTGAAATCAGATAGTGTAAGCCTTCTTCAACTTTATTCTTTTTCAAAACTGTTTTTTCATTCCTTTGCCTTTCCATATCAATTTTCTATAAAATGTCTTGCCATGATTTTGATTGAAATTGCATCGAAATGATAGTGTAAGGAGAATTGACCTCTTAACAAGACTGAGTTTTTCTTTCTTTTTTCTTTTCTTTCTTTTTTTTTTTTTGAGACACAGTCTTGTTCTTTTGCCCAGGCTGGAGTGCAATGACACAATCTCGGCTCACTACAACCTCCACCTCCTGGGTTCAAGCGATTCTCCTGCCTCAGCCTCCTGAGTAGCTGGGATTACAGGCACATGCCACCACATCCAGCTAATTTTTGTATTTTTGTTTTTTTCTTTATTGTATTTCTATTTTCAATTTTGTAAGTGCTCTTTTTGTATTTTAGTAGAGATGGGGTTTCACCATGTTGGCCAGGCTGGTCTCAAACTCCTGACTTCAGGTAATACACCCACCTTGGCTTCCCAAAGTGCTAGGATTACAGACGTGAGCCACTGTGGCTGGCCAAACTGAGTTTTTCAATCTATAAACATGCTATATATCTCCACTTATTTAGGTTTGCTTTAATTTTTCTTCACTTTTTTGTTTTCAGCATACAGAACTAGCATATATATTGGTGTGTGTGTGTATATATATATATATGTCTAAAATTTTCATATTTTGTTAAAGATTTCTATTTAAAATCTTGATTTTCATATATTCATTGCTTATAGAAATTCAACTGATTTTTGTATCATGCCCTTGCATTCTACAACCTTGTTAAACTCAATTATTCTAGATTTTAAAAATTTTATTGCAATTTTCTATGTAGACAGTCATGTTATCTAAGGATAGATAGTTTTATTTCTTCCTCGTCAATTTTATGCCTTTTATTTTTTCTTGCCTTATGGCATTGGCTAAGACTTCCAGTACAATGGTTAACATAGGTGATGAGAGTATACACTCCTACCTGTTTCCTGGCCTGATAAGAAAGAATTCAGTCATCAAGTATGCTGTTAGCTATAGGTTTTTTATAGCAGCCCTTTTTCAGTTTACCAATGTCCCCTTTTTGTTACAATCAGATATTGAAGTTTTTCAAATGCTCTTTTTGAATCTGCTGAGATGATCATTCATCTACTGATATGGTGAATTACATAGATACATTTTCAATAATGAACTAGATTTGCATTCCCAGATTAAATCCCAACTAATCGCTACTTAAAACCTTTTCTTGTTATACTGCTGGATTTGATATGGTAATATTTCATTTAGGATTTTTGCAGCTATGTTCATGAGAGATATTAAGTTTCTTTACTTGTAATTTCTTTTCCTGGTTTTGGTATCAGAGTAATACTGCCTTCATAAACTGCATCAGACAGAGTTATTTTCCTTTATATTTTTTAGACAGTTTATGTAGAGTTGGTATTATTTATTTTTAAAAGGTTTTATAGAATTTGCCAGTGAAGCCAATTGGATCTGGAGTCTTTATTGTTTTTTAGTGGAGAAGGATTTTAAATGTAAATTTAATTTTCTTAACATATATAGGACTATTTAGGTTTAGCTATTTCTTCAATAAAATTTGGTAGTTTGTGCCTTTTAAAAAATGTGTCCAATTCATCTACATTGTCTAATTAATAGGCATATAATTATTTGTAATATTCTTGCAATATCCTTGTAGTACTTGTAGGTTCTTCAGTGACCCTGATATTGGTAATTTTTGTCTTCTCTTTTTTGTCAGTATGACTAGAGGCTTATTGATTGATATTTTAAAAGAATGAGTTTTTTATTTTTCTTTATTGTATTTCTATTTTCAATTTTATTATTATTCCCTTTCTTCTGCTTGTTTTGTATTTTATTTGCTCTTCTCTTTCAAGTTTATTAAGGTGGTTTATCACTAATTTTGAGACCTTTTCTAATCAATGTCTTTCTAAGCACCATTTTAGCTGCATCCCACAAATTTTGAACTCTTCACTTCCATTTAGTTCAAAATATTTACCAATTGACATCTACTTCTGCTTGGATTCATGGGTTATTTAGAAGTATGCTGTTTAAATCTCAAATATCAAGTAGTTTTTCAGACATCTGTAATTTTTAGTTTAACTATTTTATGTTTAGAGAAAACATTTTGTATAGTTTCAATTTTTAATAATTTGTTAAGGTGTGTTTTATGGCTTAAAATGCGATGTATCTTTATCAATGCTCTATGTGTACTTGAAAATAATGTGTATTCTGTTCTTTGTTGGGTGGGGATATTCTAATAGATATAGTGTGTGTGTGTGTATATATATATATATAATTATATATGATACAATGATACATAACGACCTATAGATCAAGTTAATAGCATTGTTTAAGTCATAGTTTTAAACTGAATTTTCTGGAGCCCTGAAGTCCAATCTCTGGGTTGGAAGAGGATCTTTAAGTTTGAATACAGAATCCAATCAAAATAGATCTGTTTTTGTTGCTTGTCAAGTCTATCTATAAACACTGCCTTGAAGCCTGCAGTCTGCACACACCAGATTGTTTACTAGCTCCGGGTTCTAATGTTCTGGGACCTAGAGATATTGTGTTAGTCTATAATAGTTTCATGCATGAGCCAATTCTTTTCTGAATTCGATTTTAATATCCCTGAGTATTTCCTAAAGGAAAGGAGGTTTTCTGGACTGTTATACTGGCTAGGCAGAAACAAAGAAATTAGGGTGCTTAGGCCACCACATGTTGTGTCTGTAGCGCTATGCAAGACCTGCCAACATTCTACCGCGGGCGGCATTCCTTTGGTCTCCTCCACAACCACAGTCCTTCCAGTCTTTCATCCTTCCTCCAGTTTCCTGGTGTGTAGGGCCAGTTCTGCCAAGCAGCTCCCAGGGGTGAACTGATAACGAAATGCAGTCTTAGAAGGCTGAGAGACAGAGGCTTGAGAGAAGCCCACAGCTCCATCACATTCCACAAACCACTCTTCAGAGGAGCAGAGCGAGTTTCGGATCACAAAGCTGGGTAACGGCCAGTTCAGAGCCCAGATCTTCTGCCTCCCAGCCCTGTGTCCCTCTTGGGACATACACACCCCTTCACAAGGGGACTGACCTTCTGGGTGACTTGCAGACTAATGGGCCTTCAAGACCCCAAGTGACAATTTTCCAGAGACATAATTTATGTATTAAAGCTGGCTAGTGGGGGATGTTTCTTGAAGGTAGGGTAGGTGGTTAACAGGTTTTCTTTATATTTAATCACCTAACAAATCTTATACCAGAGCACACTCCCCTTATAAAGGGAGGGCTGATCGCGGTCTAGGTGGGTGGGCTAGGCCTGGGGGCGGGTAAAGAAGGAAAATTCTCAGGGTCTTGCACGCTCCCCCAACTCCTGCGTTTACCAGGATCACCACGTTTAGAGTGGAGCCCTTTATCTTCCGCAGCAAGGGGTCAAACGGCTGGCCTTATGCGTATTTTTGTCTTTCCTGGGTGCGCCCGGAGCTAAGAAGGGAAACCGTGGCGGTTAGAGACCAGAAGTAGGCTCTGTCACTATGGAAACCGAGGACGCTGGGGCTCGTGCCCTCCTATTGGGGCTGAGTTGCTGAGTCTGCGCAGTTTTCATCTCATGTCGGTCACGCCCCCAGCTGCGCTGCACGCTGGCTCTCGGGTTCAGCCCGAAAAGTGGAGACTGAGGAAATAGGTGGTGGTGAATACAACATTCTTTCTCATGAGACACTCACCGTGTGGTTGGAGAAATTACGTAAAAAAAAACAATTTCAGTTTTTAAAAAGTGCCATTAATAACAGAGGAGTGCAAATCGAGACAGCACCTTCTGAAGGATAAATAATTTACCAGTGTAATGTGTAGGAATAACGGATGCTGTGGGGCACCCGGTTCTACTTCCAGACTCAAGAATGTGTTCCTCCAGTTGCAGGGTGTGTTGCTAGCAGAAAGCGTTGCTAGCAGAAAGCCTTCAATTGTAAGTCCTCTTCTGAGTTGCCTAAGCCAAAGAGAGTTACACACTGAAGGTCACGCCCGTTTCCTGGACAGTTCACATCCAATGACGCATCAGTGACATGGAGTATAAAGCCTTTCCTGATTGCCTCAATCCTGGGCAATTCTTGCAGGTTGTCCCAGCTTCAGAGCTCCATGTGCTGGGCGGTGGATTTCAACATCTCATGTTGAACGGCTATGGCAGTTCAACATCTCACTCTGCCCAATTCTGCTTTCTTCCACTCTGTACGTTTTTCTATTAGTGGTGATTTCATGAACAAAAATGAGAAATTTTCTACTGTGAAGCAGCTATTTTTATTTTCATTAATCTCTTCTTTAAACAGAAAACAGTACCTTTGGTCAGTTTTAAGCCCTTGGAAAAAAATTTTTTTTTCACTCTCTGGTTACTAAGGAAAAGTCTGCATTTCAATCATTGCATGTGACAGACTGCCACGGTTACTACTTGAGACCGTCAGTGGGGCAGTTACTACTGTCACTACTTGAGACCATCATTACAAGAGTGAATGAAGGGACGAACATAGAAATGAAAACTTAAGACAACAGAAACTGTTTTAAAGGAAGGGGCCAGAGGAAGAAGAAGAGAGCTCCCTGCTTCTAGTGAGCAAAGGCAGCCCCTGAGCTTCTACAGCCCTTCGTATTTATTGGGTAGAAAAAGCAAGGAAGAGGAGGTAACGATTGGTCAGCTGCTTAACTGATCACAGGTTCATATTATTACTAACAGGCTTCAGATGTACCTAATCACAGGAAACACTGCGCTTGGGGTGTGACTGCCCTCAGCATTCCTTCTGGGTGGCAGACGCAGTTTGACAGTTTGCCAACATTCTGCATTTATGAGAACAGTTTGCTGTTTACTCATATAGCCTCCAGTGGTATACTGAGTTGATCACGACCCTCACTCTTTTGGCCTGCAATAATTGTACCCCTATATGTGTTGTTTTCCTTCAGCTGCTTTCAGTAATTTTCCTTTACGTTTGGTTTCGGTGGTTTAATTACAACATGTTTGGGTATGGTTTTCTTTTTTTAGTCTATTTTTGAGCCCGTTTGGGGTTCATTGAGCTTCTTGAATATGTAAATTTATGTATTTCACTAAATTTGAGATGTTCTAGCCAATTTTTCCAAATATATTTTTGTGCGCACTAATCTCATTTTCTTCTTCTGAGACTCCAATTATATAGAAGTTAATTTTTTCATGTATTTATTTATTTATTTATTTACAGGGTCTCTCTCTCTCTCTCTGTTACCCAGGCTGAAGTACAGTGGTGCCATCAAGGCTTATTTCAGCCTTGACCTTCTGGGCTCAAGTGGTCCCCCTATCTCAGTCTTCTGGGTAGCTGAGACTACAGGTGCATGCTGCCATGTCTGGCTATATTTTTTTTAATTTTTAATTTTTGTAAAGACAGGATCTCACTATGTTGCCCAGGCTGGTCTTGAACTCCTGGGCTCAAGTGATTTTCCTACCTTGGTATTGCAAAGTGCTGGGATTACAGGTGTGAGCTATCATCATGCCTGGTTAACTTGGATTTTTTATATTGTTCAAAAAGTTTTCAAAGCTCTGTCCACTGCTTTTCTTTTCTCTCTCTCTCTCTCTGTCTCTCTCTCTGAGATAGAGACAGGATCTTGCCCAGGCTGGTGTTGACTTTTTCTAGGTTCAAGTGATCCTCCTACCTCAACCTTCCAAGTAGTTAGGACTATAGGCATTCCACTGTGCCTGCTTCATTGCTTTTCAGTCTTATTTTTCTCTATTTTTCAGATTGTATAATTTGTGTTGACCTATTTTTAAATTCCCCAACTTCTTCCTCTGTCATCTCCATTCCGCTATTGAGCTAACACGGTGACTCAGTGTTTTAGTCCATATTCACGTTGCTGATAAAGACATACCCGAGACTGGGAAGAAAAAGAGGTTTAATTGGACTTACATTTCCACACAGCTTGGGGGGCCTCAGAATCATGGTGGGAGGCAAAAGGCATTTCTTACATGGCGGCAGCAGGAGAAAATGAAGAAGCAGCAAAAGCGGAACCGCCTGATAAACCCATGAGATCTCTTGAGACTTATTCACTATCACGAGAATAGCATGGGAAAGACCGCCCCCATGATTCAATTACCTCCCATTGGGTCCCTCCCACAACACGTAGGAATTCTGGGAGATACAATTCTAGTTGAGATTTGGGTGGGAACAAACCCAAACCATGTCACTCAGTTTTATGTTAATTACGTTTTTGTATTTTTCAATTCTGAAGTTTCTATTTGGGCCTTTTTCATCTGTGGAGAATTTCTGATTTTCCATTCATTTCAAGGGCATTCACCTTTACCTTGTGGAAGATGATTACATGGCTGCTTTAAAGTCTTGTATGACAATTCCAGTGCTTGATTTTTTTGTGGTTGGCCTAGAGAAAGGTTAGTAAGGACTTTTTAGAAAAGTCAAATTTGTGTGACTCTATCTGTAGGTATAGCTTGGAGATGATGGCAATAATCATAATATGTGAAATGTGTAACTGTGTAGTGCTCCATAGTTGATAAATACTTACACATATAAAATCTGGCTGGGTGCAGTGGCTTATGCCTGTAATCCTAGCACTTTGGGAGGCCAAGGCAGGTGGGTCAGGAGTTCGAGACCAGCCTGGCCAATATGGTGAAACCCTGTCTCTACTAAAAATACAAAAATTAGCCAGGCATGGTGTTGCACGCCTGTAATCCCAGCTACTTGGGAGGCAGAGACAAGAGAATTGCTTGAACCTGGGAGGCGGAGGTTGCAGTGAGCCGAGATTGTGCCACTGCACTCCAGCCTGGGTGACAGAGTGAGACTGTCTCAAAAACAAACAAAAAAAACATCTTATTTGACCCTCACAAGTGCCTTATTAGGCAAACAGAAGAAAGGTTATATTATTCATGTTCAGTTTAAGCAGTTTAGACTCAGGAGCCTAAGTCCTTTGCCAGGCTGTACAGCCAGTAGTAATAAATTCGATATTAATAATAAATCTTCCTACTCTGAGTGCTGTAATTAGCCTTGGGCTGAAGTTAGGGCATAGGCTCAGGGAAACTCAGGACGGGAGAAACTAGATGAAAAAGCTAACGGAGCAGCCATAGCATTGACTGGGCATGGTGAAGACCAGGGTTCTGAAAGCTGAGGATCACAGTGGACCTGGATCAGGACATAGATTTAAAAATGCAATTAAGCTCCAAGGTTTAGAATTCCAGGCATGGGAACAGGCAATGCAGAACAAGGAACTAAGAATCAGCTCAAGTGGGGACCACAGCGGCAGGAGAGGAGAACACAGATCTACCAAAGACCTCTAGGACAGAAACTTTCAAGGTACTTCTTGCCAGGGGTAAGACTGAAGCTAATATCTAGAATTCAATTACAAAATCGCACTTTGGTTCCTCCATGCTAACTTGAGGTTGAACACAGAACTCTAGAGCACAGACAAAATCAATATCTGCATGTGTTGCGGCTTCCTAAGGCCAGCTCCAGTTTTGATGATTTGCCAGAAGGGCACACATGACTTAGCACATAGTCATAATCATGGCTAAGATTTGCTGCAATGAAAAGATACAAGGCAAAATGAGCAAAGGTAAAAGGCACATGAGGCAAAGTCCAAAGGACCACAGGCACAAGTTTCCAAGAGTTCTCTCCCAGTGGAGTTGCACAAGACATACTTCCTCTAGCAATGAGTGTGACAATGTGTGATATGTTATCGGGGTGTCATTAGAGACTGTCCCTAAGGCTTTTACTGGGAGCTGGACATATAGGCATTCCCTGCCTACCATGTACCATGATTCCAGATACCCAGATGGAAAGCAGTTGTTCAGCATAAACCATACTGTCCACACAGTCTAGGCACAGTGAGCCACCCTTATCATTTAGGGAAAGTGTTTTATTTTATTTTACTTTTTTAGAGGCAGGGTCCTGCTCTGTCACCCAGGCTGGAGTGTAGGGGTTTGATCAGAACTCACTGCAGCGTTAAACTCCCAGGCTCAAGCAATCCTCCTGTCTCAGCCTCATAGTAGCTAGGACTACAGATGTGTGCCACCACACCTGACCAATTTATAAAATATTTTTGTAGAGACGGAGTGTTGCTATATTGCCTAGAACTTCTGAACTTCTGACGTCAAGCAATCCTCCTGCCTCAGCCTCCCAAGGTTATAGGATTACAGGCATGAACCACTGTGCCCGACCAAGGGAAAGTTTTATATCAGTGTAGGTACCTGTTTACCAGTTAAGTTCCCAGATGTCAGCCAAGGGCCAACTTTGCAAGCAGGCCTTTCTAAGAATAGCAGTCTCAGGTCTGCTTTGCTAGTTCTTTTCTACACATTGTATTATATACTGATGCATATTTTTACCAACATATAAGGGTATGACTGATGTGTATCCACTCTTAAGGCTGTTATTTCTGTAAATTGGCATTTCCAAATTCTTTTTAATATTCTCACGTTAGTATTCTCTCAGTTGCTTTATTTTATTCTTACATTTTAGTTTTTCCTCTCTCATTCTGTCTTCTTGAAACCATCCTCATAATAACATGCCAGGTTTTGGGCTGAAGGGCAGTCAAGCATTAATCAGGCTACACTTTGGCCCACTTCGCTGTAATTGCTAACTAACCGAAAGTCACGTAGGCCAGAACACAGACCATGAACTTCCTCATTGTTCCTATAGATAGCATCTTTAGCATTAGAAGTCTGAAACTTTCCATTCAAGATGATTTTCAGATTCTGAATTCTTTTTTAAAAATTGTATTATTATTATTTTTAGAGACAAGATGTTGCTCTGTCACTCAGGCTGGAGTACAGTGGCATGATCACAGTTCACTGCAGCCTCTAAACTTCTGGGCTCAAGTGATCTTTCCACCTCAGCCTCCCAAGTAGCTGGGACTATAGGTGCTTACCACCGCACCCAACTAACTTTATTTTATTTTTGTAGGAACAGAATCTTGTTCTGTTGCCCAGGCTGCTCTTGAACTCTTGGCTTCAAGAGATCCTCTTGCCTTGGCCTCCAAAAGTGCTGGGATGAATCTCTGTCATGGTGGCATGAGCCACCATGCCTGGCCCAGATCCTGAATTCTAGCAGGACAGCTCATGCCCACCAGTCTGAAGACACCAAAAGGAGAACTGACTCAATGCAAGAATGCAATTTCTTTAGTTCCATGACGTCACCCTTCATTCTTCAACCAATCAGTGATCCTTATACCTTGGCCCACTAACCATCCAAACCCCTTAAAATCCCTAGATCCTAAACTCCTTGAGGAGGTGGATTTGAGGTTTCCTCCAGTCTCCTTGTTTGGCTGCCTTGTGATTAAACCTCTTTCTCTGCTGCAATTCTTTGTGTCTTGGTGTATTTACTTACCACACATTGGACATTTTACCAAGAACTAAAAATAGAACTACCATTTGACCCAGCAGTCCCACTACTGGGCATCTACTCAAAGGAAAAGAAATCATTCTATCAAAAAGACACCTGTACTCCTATGTTTATTGCAGTACTATTCAAAATAGCAAAGTCTATTTATGTTATAATCAGATTTGTATTACAACTGTTTTATATTACAATAGCTTTATATTATAAATATAATTATGTAACCTATATATAGTACTCAGTTACAATTGTTTGTGTGTGTGTAACTATGTCTGTGTTGTAAAAATTATTCTACCAAAATGGGAATGGTAGGTAGAAAGTATATGCAGATAATTTTGTCTAACAATTTTGTCTTTCATTTTTGTCCAACAAATGCACTGTTTACCTTTTGCCACCGTACTCTCTGCCTCAGAGGGCTGACCTTTGTGGACTGTTTCATGAGTAGCCTTTGACTTTTGGCTTACAGCTGGTTTAATCACTGGGGAGGATCACCAGGAGACCTAGAGACTGGGAGGTGAATGAGGGAGGGTGGTTGCTGTCCTGGGAAGTGAATGAGGGAGGGTGCTTACTGTCCCAGATCTTTCCCTGTCGATTCTCTATGGGTTACCAAGTACCCTAGCAAATTTCACAGCTCCTCTCAGATGGCCCTCTCCCATACAGCTGTTCTCAATAGGTTTCCATAAACATTGCCTTCCAGGCTAGATGTAGTAATAGTTCCCTGGTGTTGCAAACTGTAGGGAACCTACTATTGCTTATTGCTTTCCCTAAATACTATCTGCACATTTTGCTGGAATTCTGACTGAGATATGTACTCCTTTTTCTTCAAATAGATTAACTCATGCTTTCAAGTCTTATAAATCTCTTATTACTAAATATTGGAGAAATTTCCTACCATAAAGCTCCTACATTGATTCACCTATATTGTTTAAATAAGAGGCCAATGCTCTAATTTCCAATTACCTCTGAGCCTCTCTGGCATCCAGCTCACATTATAGGTAGTCAGAATTTAAGATATCTTTCATTCATTGTTTGGGTTGGACATTTCATCTTCCCATAAGTAGAAACATTTCAACAAAAATGTGAAGTGTTGTGATATTTGCATCCTAACTTCAAATGGTTGAGAACAAAATTTTCAAAGAAAATGAGAATACAAAAATAAAAAAGTGATTAATCCATACATAGATAGAGATAAACAAATGAGGAAAATATTAGTTGGTAAATCTTGGTGTTCTATGTAGTAGCAGTATTCCATTTTTCTGCAAGTTTGAAGTCTTTCAAGTAAAATATTGAGCAGAAATATTGCTGTGAAGAAATTTTTGACTAGCCTGATTTTTCTATTGTGCATGATATTTTTTCTTTCTTGCTTTAAAGCTTGCACAAATATCTTTTTATTCTTGAAGTTCATTATGTCAATTAAATTGTGTTTCTGTGTTAAGAATCTTACGTTAAAATTTCTCAGAGCATGGCATTTTTTTTCCAGATGGTGGACAAGTGTGGTGCAGCTGTGTATTTACCTAATCTTTTTTCAAAGTCAGAATTATTAAAGATCTAGAATGAACAGAAAAGATTCAAATTAAGAGTGACTATTTGAGAGTCATTAAAAGTCTGTGAAACGAGGGGATGTCTGGGAGTGCAGCTGGGCGGCAGCATCATGACGTCACAGATGAAACACAAGCACTGGAGCCAGGGAAACTGACTCCTCCATTCAAATTCTGACTTTACCATTTGTCAGATGTGGAACCTTGGTCTGATAATGCAACATTTCTGAACCTCAGTTTCCCCATCTGTAATATGGGGTGAATCTCTGTCTTATAAGATTGATGACAGAATTAGAGACAAGGAATGTAGACACTTAGTCTGCAATAAGTAGACTTATTCAGTGGAGCTCAGTAAGTAATTGGTCATTATTTTTCGTACATTAAGGGCTAGGTTACTGAAACCTTACAAATGCTTTCAGAAATTGGCAGGAGGAAACCACACATGTGTACTCAAGCAAGGACACCACACGGAGATACTGTGTTAAGCAGTTAGGCAAGAATAGAGTCAACTAATCATAGCAAGCCTTCTCTCCTCCCCCTATATTACCTGAATGGAAGGAACACTAGAGAAACACAAATTTTTGCTGCAGCATTGCCTTTTCACACTTAGGTATATGTCATTATTCTAGAAGAACATGTACCAACAACATTTGCTTGTTCATTTAAGGCAGTTTTTGCTGCACCTTGTGAAATATCTGTTCCCACAGGTGGCTTTATTTCTTCACAAGTTTATTCGTTTCACTGTTGTAGTCTCAATATTAAAATTGTGTGGTACATTGAAATTGTCAAAAGACAGAAGTTAAGTTCCCTGCCTCATTGGTATGAGCCCATTTAATAAGTTTCCTGCAGAGTTTCTGAGATAATTGCCTTCTTTCTCTTTAGCTGGGTCTGATTATATAACAAGAATAGATCCTATAATGAGAGACTTTATGCAAACATTAGACATCATAATTCCTTTCAAGCAATTAATTACCCTCAAGATTAAGTAAATTGATGCAACACTTGATAAATGTTTCAATTAATTAATTAATTTGAAAATACTTTTATATACAAACCTGAGTACAGCCTTGTTTTTAGTGATGTGAAAGATATTTTCATGAAGGCAGAGGAAAAGAGTACTCAGAAAAAGAGTACTAGCAGGCCGGGTGTGGTGGCTCATGCCTGTAATCCCAGCACTTTGGGAGGACGAGGTGGGCAGATCACCTGAGGTCAGGAGTTCAAGACCAGCCTGGCCAACATGGTGAAACCCCATCTCTACTAAAAATAGAAAAAACTACTGAGTGTGATGGCGGGTGCCTGTAATCCCAGCTACTCAGGAGGCTGAGGCAGGAGAATCACTTGAACCTGGGAGGTGGATACTGTAGTGAGCCAAGATCGCACCACTCCACTCCAGCCGGGGCAACAGAATGAGACTCTGTCTCAAAAAAAAAAAAAAAAAAAAAGCTGTATGTATCAAAACAGTGTGGTAATGGCATCAGGCTGGACATATAGATTAATGGAATAAATTGAGAGTCCAGAAATAAACCCATACATCTACGGTCAATTGATTTTTGACAACAGTGCTAAAATCACTGGAAATCTGAAGTTTCATCTGGGAAGACAAATTGCTGGGCATGACTCCTATGGCTTAGGCCTGAATCACCTAGTTGCTTCTCCACTTATGTCTGGTCCCTGTGCTATAATGACCAGTAAAGTGTGTGCTTTAATGACACAGTAAAGTGTGTGCTGTCAATGACAAGAGTTACATATGGCCTCTCAATGTAGATTGGACTTCATCACAGCATAGTGACTTTGGAGTAGTCATAGTTTTATATGGCGGCTTAGGGCTACTGTGTGTATGTGTGAGCAAGTCAAAAGCTGTATAGCCTCTTATGAGCTAGCATTGGAAGTCACATAGCATCACTTCTACTATACTCAGTGGTCAAAGCAGTCAGAAACTCACGAACATTCAAGGTGAAGAGAAACAGACCAACCTCTTGATGGGAAGGGATTCAAAGAGTTTGAGGCCATTTTTTAAAACTACCAGAATGAAATTTTCAGCCATCACTTTGCAAGCAGAAAGAAATAGAAATTATCCACTTAAAACGTTAAGAATTCTGAGATTTCTGAAGGCAAGGAAAAGGAAAAATATCTATTGTACAAAAAGGACATATTACAGAATGAAATTGCCATGCTAAGAGTGGAACTGAACAAAATAAAAGAATCAAGATCATAAGATCTCAGAAGGGCCAGGTGAAAAAATTATGAAAATTATAAATCAAGATCAGAGAAAATATATTGAGGATATTAACATTTTAACATAAAAGAATTTTGATATTCAAAAGATAATAAAACTGGGCAAAGAAATATTAGCCAAAACAATATTCAGTATAATGGACTACTTTATGCAGTAATACCTGAGAAAGCAGCATTGAACTCAAATTAATAAATGAAAAACAAAGCAAAGAGAAATTGAATATTACGGTTGGATATGTTTTTTTGTTTGTTTGTTTTTTGTTCTTTTGTTGTTGTTTTTGAGACAGAGTCTCGCTCTGTTGTCCAGGCTGGAGTGCAGTGGTGTGATCTCGGCTCACTGCAACCTCTGCCCCTCGGGTTCAAGCGATTCTCCTGCCTCAGTCTCCCGAGTAGTTGGGATTACAGGCACCCGCCACCAAGCCGGTTGGGATATGTTATAATTTATTTGGCCCTGCCAAGTCTCATGTTGAAATTTTATCCCCAGTGTTGGAGATGGGGCCTGGTGAAAGGTACTTGGATGCTGGGGACAGATCCCTTAATGTCTTGGTGCCTTTCTTGCAGGAGTGAGTGAGTTCTCACTTTTAGTTCACATGAGAACTGGTTGTAGAGAAGAGCCTGGTACCTCCTCCTCTCTCTCTCAATTCCTTTCCCACCATGTGATCTGCACACACCAGCTCCCCTTCCTCTTCCACCATGAGTGGAAGCAGCCTGAATTCCTTGCCAGAAGCAGATGCTGGTGCCATGCTTCTTGTACAGGCTGCAGAACTGTGAGCCAAATAAACCTCCTTCCTATGTAAATTACTGAACCTCAGGTATTCCTTGATAGCAACATAAACAGAGTAAGACATTGAATCATCAGGTTCCAATATTTTCATTCGTCTGAACTAAAATATAACCATGATGTGCCTTCTCAATAATGTTGAAAACTAAATGTTAAAGTAGTAACCTACACAATGAGCTTTATCGCACTAAAGTTACCCTCTGAACCAAAAGATATTGGTTAGACCTCCTATCACAGAATGTAAAAAGAAGGAAAGTGAATACATGTGACAACATGAACGCACAAAATGAATATATTATACGATAAAAAACCTTAAAGAAATGATCACTGAAACTACAAAGTAAAAATATATTGTTTTCAAACAATGGGGTAATATGCACAAAAAGATTATGAAATAGAAAAACACAATGACTAATATAAAAGATAAATTGTGTAAGTATGCACAACAAATCAAGCTGAGAGTGAAAAACAAACACATGCTGGAAGAAAGAAATAACTAGTTATTCAAAGAATATCATCACTTGAAAGAAAAAAATAGGTATGAAGTTGGCAAAGCAGAGAGAGGGATTATAGTGTGACAACTTTGATAAGATCTTGCTGATACTATAAAAAAAATCTGCATTGGAGGCCTTCCTGAAGGTCACATACCTTTATCACATTTATTCAGAAAAAAAAGGCTAAAGATATAAAGGAGATAATAGGTCAAATCATATGCCAGTTGGAAGTAGTGCAAGATGGACAAACACCGGTGATGTGGTATGCTGAGAAGGCACAGTAGCAGCAGATGCAGAAGTCTGAAATAGAAAACGCCAGGTTTTCTATGGCATACCAACCTGAGTGTGCCCAGTCTCATCCAATCTCAGAACGTAAGCAGGATTGGGCCTGGTTAGAACTTGGATGGGAAAATGCCAGTTAAAATCTGTACTAAAAAATTTAAGCAGGCAAAATCAAAGTCAAATTGCATCAAAGAATCTGTTAGGGCAAGTTTTTCTGATAAAGCAAAAGAGAAATTAAATACATTTATTATATTAAATAATCGGGACTATTACGTGGACCAAGAGGAGAAAAACAATACATTTTTCATTTTTCATTCAAAAAAGAGATTACTGGATTGATGACATTATAGCAAAATTTAAAAATAGCATATTTTAATGATTAGAGGGTTGGGACTTTGTGCCTCACTTCACAACCTCTGAGGACAGGAGAGAGGATGAAAGTTAAATTGATCATCAATGGCCAAGGATCTAATCAATCATACCTGTGTAACAAAGCCTCCATAAAAACCCAAAAGGACTGGGTTTGGAGAGCATCTGGATGGCTGAATAAGTGGAGGCTCCAGAGGGTGACACACCGGGGAGAGCATGGAAACTCCACACTTCTTCTCGCACATAGCTTGTTCTATGTATCTCTTAGTGTGTATCTTTTATAATATCCTTTATAATAAAAATTGGTAAATGTAAAAAAAAAACTCCAGTATCTTTAAAATGTATGTATCAGAGGCTTCCAGTTTCTGATAATATCCAAGTAACTCCTACTGAACAAATTTTCTTTCACATAACAACTGTAATTTCTGGAAGAAATATTTAAAACAGTTACTTTGAGGCACTAGAGAGAGCGAATGAAAGTAAACAGATAGAAGAAACTGATGGGAAAAGCACCAAACAAAAAGTAAAATTGTAGACTTAAATCTAACCATATCAATAGTTAAATTAAATGATAATGAAGAAACTCTCCAAGTATAGCAAGGCTCAACTATATGCTGTTTACAAAAACTACACCTTAAATATAAAGAGATGAGTTAAAAGTAAGTGCACAAAAAAAACTATATTATGAAAACATAAGACAACTGAGCTGTTTAGTTGTATTACTATTATGTAAAGTAGTCTTTAAGATGAAGAGTATTAACGGTGATAAAAAGGGACAATTCATAATGATAAAAGTTTTTGTTTATCAGGAAGACAAGGCAACCATAAAACTATATTCTCCTAATAACAGAATACAGGACATGAGTAAAAAATCTACAGCTACCTTCCTGTTTATTGGGAAAAGAATGTCTAAATGCTTTCTTTCTGTGATTGAGAACAAGGTAAGATGCCCACTCTATATATTTCTAGTCATTATTATATGGGAGAGCTTAGCTAGTGCATTTAAGCAAGGAAATGAAACAAAAGGCATACAGATAGAAAGGAAGAAGTGCAGTTTGTTTTATTCAACTTGAGTATCTTTCTAAAATTTTTTTGAATCTTCGAAACAGCTATTAGAACTTGCAGCTGAAATTAGCAAAGGACAGCGTCTAAGGCCAATATATAAAACTCAATTATATTTCTACGTACTATTAAGAAACAGTGGCAAAAGAAATTTTTAAAATAACATCAAAATATAAAATGCTTAAGGATAAATGTTATAAAATATGTTCAAGACCTATAAACTAAAAACTACAGAACATTGCTAATAAAAATTGAAAATAACATAAGATTTACTTATCTATTTAAGATACATTATGCTTATGGTTTGGAAAACTTAACATTGTTACGGTGTCTTGTCTCCCCAAATTGCTCAAAATTTAAGAAACCCAAATCCAAGTCCCAGCAGGCTTTTGATGGGGGTAGAAATTAGTAAATGGATTCTAATGGTTATACGTGAATGCAAAAGCAGTACAATAGTGAAGACAACAACATTAGAAGACTCTTGAAATCTCATTTTGAGGTTTATTACAGAGTCATGCAAATTTAAAAGGGCATAGTGGTGCAAGAATAGAAATGCAGATTAAGAGAACGAAAGAGCTGAGAAAAAGAAACCTAACGTATATGGTTAAGTGGTTTTCAACAAAGACGCCAAAGTAATTCATTGGATAAAGCATAGTCTTTTCAACAAATAGTGCAGAAAAAAATAGCTATCCATTTGAAAAGGAAAAAAGATAACTATTTCTTAGATAAGAAAGGATAAACATAAACCATAGAGGGAAAAATTGATAAATGGGACATGATAAAAAATTTAAATACCTGACTTTTGAACAACTTTTTAAAGAAAATGAAACTACAAGTCACATACTGGGAGAAAATATTTGAAATATGTGTATCTGACAAAGGACTTGAATTCAGAAGATGTAAAAACTTCTATAACTCAGTAATAAGAAGACAGCAACACAATAAAAGAAACAGCCGAGAAATGAGAACAGACATTTCACAAAGAATAGATACATGCAAAGAGCAAATAAGTACATGAAAAGATATTTTGTTTATTCATCAGGAGAGTGTAAATTAAATTCTGATAACACTACATACGCGTTAGAAAATATAAAAAGACTGAGATAGCAAGTGTTCATGTGGATGGGAAGCAACTGGAACTCTCAAACATTGCTTCTGAAAACATAAAACGATACAACCATTTTGCAAAACAGTTTGGCAATTTCTTATAAACATACACTTACTATCTGACATAGGAATTCCACTCCTATGTACTTAAAAAGAGAATTAAAAGCATATGTTCCCAATGACCCATTGGTGAATAATTATAGCAGTATTATTTGTAATATCCCAAAACTGGACAGGGATCAAATGTCCACCAAAAACTGTATAAATAAACTAATTGTGGCATAGCCATATAATGGAATACTACTTGGTTAAAAAATAGAATAAAATATGGCTACATGTAACAAGATTGATAAAGAAACCAGATACAAAAGAGTGTAAAACAAGCAAAACTAATTTATAGTTATAAAGAGCAAATTAATGGTTGCTTGGGACTGAGAGTATGAGGTGGTGTATGTGTACTACAAAGGAAATATTCTATATTTTGCTAATGGTGATATGGATGTTTAAATTTGTCAAAACATCAAACTGTATACTTAGAATGGATACATTTTAATGCATATCAATTATACTTTGATTTAATATATATCAGTGTACATAGTATATTTGTCAGTATATTATAATTTTTTAAAGTTAACATGTTTTTTCTGGTTTTCTCTTTCTTAAAAATAATTTTGTATTTTTAAATAGATCACAAATTTGCAGAAAAGCAAAAAATAACTTTCTTCTGAACCACTTGAAATTAAGTCCTTTTTTTCTTTTCTTTTTTTTTTTTTTTTTTTTGAGACAAGGTCTGACTCTGTCACCCAGGCTGAAGTGCAGAAGCACCATCAGGGCTCACTGCAGCCTTGACCTTTCTGGGCTTGGATGATCCTTGCACCTCAGCCTCCCAAGTAGCTGGGGCCACAGGGGCGTGCCACTACACCCAGCTACTTTTTGTGTTTTTTGTAGAGATGGGGTTTTGCCATGTTTCCCAGGCTGGTCTTGAATTCTTGAGCTCAAACAACCCACCTGCCTCAGCCTCCCAAAATGCTGGGATTACAGGCATGAGCCACCACTCCTGGCTGAAATTAAGTTCTTAATCTTATGTTTCATCACCTCTGAATAACTTAGTATTTCCTACAAACAAAAAGCTTCTCCTGCGTGACCAAGTTATAATAATCAAAATCAGAATGTTAACATTGATACATTAACTTTGATAGCACTGATATATTAACATTAATAACTTTCATCTTTAGACCTCAGTAACTTTTTGTGAACTGTCCCAATAACAGTCTTTTAAAGAAAATGATTGTATTTAGTATCATAGTTTGCATTTAGTTGTCATGTCTCTTTCCTGTCCTTCAGAAAGGAACAGTTCTGCAGGCTTTTTCTGAGATTCATGACTTTGATGCTTTTCAAAATTATAGGCCAGTAATTTTGTAGAAAGTCTATCAATTTGCATTTGTCTGATATTTCCTCGTGATTAAATTTATCTTTTGGAGTAATATCGCAGACTGATGCTCTGTTCTTATTGCATTCTATCTGACGGCAGTTTCATGAAATGATTGATGCCTTACAAAAAGTTTATGGGGACAATTCCCTGAAGAAATCCGCAATTTACTAATGGATAACTTATTTTAGGAAGGGATGAGATGATGTCGGAGATGAGGCCTGCAGTGGCAGACCATCAACATCAATTTGCAAGGAAAAAATTCATCTCGTATCTGCCCAAATTGAGGCAGACCAACAGTTAACAATAGAAACAAATAGTCAACACTGTAGACATCTCTATTGGTTCAGCTTACACAATTCTGACTGAAAATTAGTAAAGTTTGGCAAACTTTCCACTCAAGGGGTGCCCAAACTGTTGTGCCCAGATCAGCTTCAGACAAGAGCAGAGCGCTTTCAGTGGAAATTCTAAACAAGTGGGATCAAGATCCTGACGTATTTCTTCAAATTGTAACAGGAGATGAAACATGGCTTCACCAATACAATCTTGAAGACAAAGCAAAATCAAAGCAATGGCTACCAAGAGGTGGCAGTGGTCCAGTCACCCCAAAAACAGACTGATCAGGAGCAGAGGTCATGGCAAGTGTCTTGGCATGCTCAAGGCGTTTTGCTTGTAGACATTCTGAAAGGCCAAAGAATGATAATATCTGCTTATTATGAGAATGTTTTGAGAAGGTTAGCCAAAACTTTAGCAGAAAAATGCCTGGGAAGCTTCATCAGAGAGTCCTTCTCTGCCACAACAATGATCTTGCTCATTCCCCTCATCAAACAAGGGCAATTTTGTGAGAGTTTTGATGGGAATCTACCTTACAGTCCTTATTTGGCTCCTTCTGACTTCTTTTTGTTTCCTAATTTTAACAAAATCTTTAAAGTGCACTCATTTTTCTTCAGTTAATAATGTAAAAAAGACTGCATGGACATGGTTAAATTCCCAGGATCTTCAGGTTTTTAGGGATGGACTAAATGGCTGGTACCGTTCCTTACAAAAGTTTCTTGAATTTGATAGAACTTATGTTGAGAAATAAAGTTTATAATTTTTATTATGTATGTATGTATGTATGTATTTATTTGAGACAGGGTTTTACTCTGTTACCCAGGCTGGAGTGCAGTGGCACAATCAAGGCTCACCACAGCTTTGATCCCCTAGGCTCAAAAATCCTCCCACCTCAGCCTCCCAAGTAGTTAGGACTACAGATGCATGCCACCACTCCCAGCTAATATTTTGATCTTTTTTTTTTTTTGAGACAGGGTCTCACTATGTTGCTCAGGCTTGTCTCGAACTCTTGGCCTCAAGTGATCCTCCCACTTTGGCCTCCCAAGTGTTGGGATTACAGATGTGAGTCACCGCACCCAACCACCTTTGTCCCCCCTTTTTTTTTTGGAGATGGAGTCTTGCTCTGTTGCCAGGCTGGAGTGCAGTGGCACGATCTTGGCTTACTGCAACCTCTGCCTCCCAGGTTCAAGCAATTCCCCTGCCTCAGCCTCCTGAGTAGCTGGGACTACAGGCGAGTGCCACTATGCCCAGCTAATTTTTTTTTGTATTTTAATAGAGTTGGGGTTTCGCCATGTTGGCTAGGATGGTCTCAATCTCCTGACCTCGTGATCTGCCCACCTCGGCCTCTCAAAGTGCTGGGATTACAGGCGTGAGCCACTGTGCCCAGCCACCTTTGTCCCTTTTAAGTCAAACTGATGGTGTTTTCACTAATGATTATTTCAAAAATGCCATGTGTTTTCCTGTTAGGATTTGATCTCCGCCTAAAGCTATTTCTTCTTCTTCTTCTTCTTCCTCTTCCTCTTCTTCTTCTTCTTCTTCTTCTTCTTCTTCTTCTTCTTCTTCTTCTTCTTCCTCTTCCTCCTCCTCTTCCTCCTCTTCCTCTTCCTCCTCCTCTTCCTCCTCTTCCTCCTCTTCCTCTTCCTCCTCCTCTTCCTCCTCTTCCTCCTCTTCCTCCCCTTCCTCTCCTTCTCCTCCTCCTCCTCCTCCTTCTTCTTCTCCTTCTTCTCCTTCTCCTCCTTCTCCTCCTTCTCCTTCTCCTCCTTCTCCTCCTTCTCCTCCTTCTCCTTCTTCTCCTTCTTCTCCTTCTCCTTCTTCTTCTCCTTCTCCTTCCTCCTCCTTCCTCCTCCTTCCTCCTCCTTCCTCCTCCTTCCTCCTCCTTCCTCCTCCTTCTCCTTCTTCCTTCTTCTTCCTTCTTCTTCTTTCTTTCTTCTTCTTCTTCCTCTTCCTCTTCTTCCTCTTCTTCTTCTTCTTCTTTCTTCTTTTTTTGAAAAGGAGTTTCGCTCTCGTTGCCCACGGCCAGAGTGCAATGGTACGATCTCAGCTCATTGCAAATTCTGCCACCTGGATTCAAGCGATTCTCCTGCCTCAGCCTCCCAAGTAGCTGGGATTAAAGGCATGTGCCACCACGCCGGGCTAATTTTGTACTTTTAGTAGAGACGAGTTTTCTCCATGTTGGTCAGGCTGGTCTTGAACTCCCAACCTCAGGCGATCCCCCTACCTCGGCCTCCCAAAGTGCTGGGATTACAGGCATGAGCCACTGCACCTGGCCTCCTAAAGTTATTTCTTAATTTTATCATTGCTTGTCCTGGAGAGGCTGAGGACAAAATTTTAGCACCCTGTCTAGAAATCTCCTTAGCTAGATCATCCATTGCATTAAGTAAAAATTTCTATTTTTCATGTGATGGCAGCTGACCATTTTGCTTTACTTTCTTTTTTTTTCTTTTTTTTTTTTTTTTTTGGAGACAGTGTCTCGCTCTGTCACCCAGGCTGGAGTGCAGTGGCGCGATCTCGGCTCACTGTAAGCTCCACCTCTCGGGTTCACGCCATTCTCCTGCCTCAGCCTCCCGAGTAGCTGGGACTACAGGCGCCTGCCACCGTGCTCGGCTAATTTTTTGTATTTTTAGTAGAGACGGGGTTTCACCGTGTTAGCCAGGATGGTCTCGATCTCCTGACCTTGTGATCCACCCGCCTTGGCCTCCATTTTGCTTTACTTTCAACCAGTACATAACAAGGGTCCTCCTTCCTCCAGCTACTGATAACATTGTCCTCACTTTCCTTTAGTACTTCCAGGTACTTTCTGCCAACAGCAAAGCCAAGATTAGATTCTAACATACTTGGAACTTTCATTCTCAGTGTAGGCCAGGTCAGAACACAAGAGCACAAATACTGATAATGGTGTCATTCATTGATTAACATACTCTCTAAGGCTATAATTTACTGTAAATTGCCATTTTGAAATATTCTTTAATCTATACATTTCAGATTCTCAATGTATATTTTTCTAGATTTGGATTACACTACCTGAATTGCTTGTCTAGTTTTTCACCCACAAAATCTTGTCTGTTACTTTACGTTATTTTCTATGTATGTATTTTTTACTTTCTCTCATTCTTTTATTTTTTTCTTTTCCTTTAGTTGTTTCTTCTTTCAATTTCATTTTGGTAAAATACTCATTTTCATCTCCTTCTAAGACCTTTCTTCATATTCCCTGAAAGAAATAAAGAAATTAAGCTGTTTTCAGAAGGAAGTTCTGTAGGCGGATTGTTTACCTGCGACTCCAACACAAACTCCCCCATGGGAAGGATGCATTCAGTGACAACTACCCAAGCACAGTGAGACCACCTGCCACATTTTAGAATTCCTGAGCACTAAGACCTTGTTATCAGAGGGTAGCGGTTAGGTGGTGAGGACACCTTGGCTCAGGTGATAGATTCAGGAGTGGGGCTAGAGACGGGTGGGGCTTGGCAAGAGGGGCGGAGCCTGAGTGGAACCAAGCTTGGCAAGAGGACTGGAGCCATTAGGGGTGACTGCAAAGGCCAGGCTCTTGCCAAGCTGGTCACAATCTGTACTGAGCTATGACACCCTGAGCTGCTTGGCCCTTGATTGAAAAAAACTGCTAGAAACTCAGAAGGCTCAGAGTGTTCTCTCTGCTCCCCTCTCAGAAGACAGAAAAACTGAGGCCCCCAAATGGAAGGGTTTTAGGTGGTCCTGGTGTCCTCCTCGAGCCATGGTTTCAGAGCAGCCCCTTAAAACTGGTGTGACAAAGGCAAGGGGCACAAAAAGGTGTGGTTCATAAAGCATGGTTTAGAGGAACCTCAAATCAGAAATGATAAGCAATGCTCACCCCTCAATGGACTTCTAGGAGCACCCTCCATGCGTAGAGATCTTGGAGAACATATTGTGTAGTATTTGGCTGACTTGACTGATCACAGAGTGGGAATATCTCGACTGAAAGGGGGGAAATACCTCCTTGATGAAGAA